>NC_000003.12:132644967-132796483 GCF_000001405.40 Homo sapiens
ATGTCAGAAGAAACAAATGAAAATAAATTCATCTCAATGCTGGAAAATCAAGAGGGGTGCTATCAGCAGCTCACAACATGAATTTCTAGATGATATTAAAGCAGATGGCAACATACTGGCAGCTGGAGAATCTGTGACTCACAGAGGTAGAAGAGAGGACCCCACTTCCTGACTGCAAATCCTAAGTTTTATCAGGAGTACCTGTAGAACAATGACTGATCTAAGTAAACTTGTAGAACAATGACTGATCTAAGTAAATAAACAATCTGAGAAGAGATTGTTAGTTATCAGTCAGAAAATGAATTAAAAGATGCAGGAACAGCTGGCTTAATGCCCCCTCATCTGCCTTTAGAGAGATAACCCTCATAAGTGTCAACAAGGCTAGTGCGTGAGTTGAGCTCTCTACAATGGGAGTTCTGAGAAGTGAGGTCCCACAGTGAGCATCTGGCCCAGGGAAGTGCAATGCTGGCCCAACTAACTCACAGACACCAGGGCATTGACTTTCCCTGCCAGATGAACAGAAATTCTCACCTAAACTAAGGATAGACACTTCAGCTACCAAAACTATTCAGTCTATTCCTTCACTTATAATATGGGCATTTAAGAATCGCCCAACTTTTGAAGAATCCAACTGTATAAAGGAGAGATCCTAAATTAAATAAACAGAAGAATCAATCCTTAAGGTAATAGGTAATAGGAGAAAGTAGAAAAAAAAATCTTTGGAGCTTCTTCCCAGGACTCCAACCTCCATCAGGAAAAAACAAGCATGAGCCTAGATTGAGTCTGGCAGCAGCCCCAGTGTCTATGTCTTCTATAAATCAGACCCATCCTCCCTGGCAATCATATCAAGGAGCACTGGTTTTGGTACCATCTAATCCTGAGTGAGTGCCTTTTACCATAGGAAGGTAGAGATAATCACCAGTGGTCAGGAAATAGGACCACCACAGGCTATGCTGTCTTTATTGATATAGAACAATTTATCTTTGATGCTGCAAACCATCAATTGCAACGAATCTTTTTTTTTTTTTTTTTGAGACGGAGTCTCGCTCTGTCGCCCAGGCTGGAGTGGCGCGATCTCGGCTCACTGCAAGCTCTGCCTCCCGGGTTCACACCATTCTCCTGCCTCAGCCTCCGCAGTAGCTGGGACTACAGGCGCCCGCCACCGCACCCGGCTAATTTTTTGTATTTTTAGTAGAGACGGGGTTTCACCGTGGTCTCGATCTCTTGACCTCGTGATCCGCCCGCCTGGGCCTCCCAAAGTGCTGGGATTACAGGAGTGAGCCACCGCGTCTGGCAACAACGAATCTCACAAACACATTTTTTAAAAAATGCCAAACATCTGATTGGATGCATTTTTGATGAGGCTTGTGATCCGCCTGCCTGGGCCTCCCAAAGTGCTGGGATTACAGGCGTGAGCCATCACGTCTGGCAACAATGAATCTTACAAACACATTTTTTAAAAAATGCCAAACATCTGATTGGATGCATTTTTGATGAGGCAGTTCTCTAGTCTTATATAAAGCACTGGTCTTTCATGATAGTAAATGACCCAAATGAAATACAAAGAAAAAACTAAAAGCTTCTTGTTGAAGATAGAGTGACCCAGCAAGTCTGCTTCTACATATATATCCAAGAGAACTGAACACATAAAATTAACACAAAAACTTGTACATGAATGTTCACAGCAGTACAATTCACAACAGCCAAAAATTAGAAACAGCTCAAATATCCGTCTGCAGACAAAAGGATAAACAAAATGTGGTATATCTATACAATGGATTATTGTTTGGCAATATACAGGAATAAAATGCCGATCCATGCTACAACATGGATGAATCTTGAAAATATTATGTTAAGTGAAAGAAGCTAGTCACAAAAGACTACATATTATGTGATTCCATGTCTATGAAATGTCCAGGATAGGGAAATCCATAGTGACAGAAAGTAGATTAGTAGCAGCCAGGGATGGGGGAGGAAAAAATTGGGAACTATGAGGTTTCTTTGGGGGCGATGGAAATGTTTTAGAACTAGATAGTGGTGATGGTTGTATAACATTGTGAATATATGGAAAACAACTGACTTGTACACTTTAAAACGGTTAAATTTTTAAATGTTACGTTACATGAATTTCTCAAAAACAAACAAAAACAATTAAAAGTTTCTCTTTTGAGGAAGTATCTAAAGTGGTTATAACAAAGACAAAAAAAAATTGCAGAAGCCCATTTGCATGGGAGGATCATTGTCAACACTGTCAATACAGTACTTGCTAAATTTAACTACTCCAACCATCAGGCCTCCAAATAGCCTAGAACCATTGATGGTCTCAATATAAGAATCATCATTGAACCAATAGTCAGAACTATTGGTTAGTTCTTGGACAAGATATTTGGTGCTGAGAGAAATGTGTTGATCTATAACCTAAGAGATGGTACTTTTGATGTGTCTAACCTCCATTAACAAATAGAAAATCTTTGCATGTAAGTGTGCAGCCATGGACACTTACTTGGTTAGAGAAGACTTTAAACAGACAATCTCACGAGACCCTACTAAGCCATCCATAGCATTGGTTCCCTTAGAAGCATAAACAGACAGGAAAAACAGGATGCTGGCATGGCAGCATCAGATGAGTTTCTTCAGCAGACCCCTTGCAGCAGTCCAGGGTTTACTCCATGCCCCCATTCCCCCTTGGTGACAGCTCAGGTGAGAGGGAATGAGATCAGGAAATGGGTGAGTATGGGTACCACCTTGATTTAGAAGTCTTAGTCTATTTAGGCTGGTAGTCTATTCAGACTGCTATTATGAAATACCATAGACTGGGTAGCTTATAAACAACAGATATTTATTTCTCACATTTTTGGGGCCTGGGAAGTCAAAAATCAAGGCACCAGCAGATTCAGTGTCTGGTGAGGACCCACTTTCTTATAGATGGCACATTCTTGCTCTTTCCTCACATGGTGGAAGGGGCAAGGCAGTTCTTTGGGGTCTCTTTTATAACACTAATCCCATTCTTGAGGTCACTGTACTCATGATCTAATCATCTCCCAAAGACCCCCCACCTCTTAATATCATTACCTTAGGAGTAAGGATTTCAACATATGAATTTTTGAGGGACACAAACATTTAGATCATAGTAAAGCCTCATGCCCTACAGAAGCCATTATCTGTAGTAGCAGTCTTTTGGCACCAGCTTCCAGGGCCCTAGCAAAGGACATAACTAGTTGAAAGAACCCTCTACACTTAGGGAAGCCCAAAGCTATGCCTTTCCACCAGATACTTAAACAGTTCATTTACAGACCTTCCAGTTCAGATGCAGTTTACTAATTAGATGTTATTTTTACCATAAGCAATGTTGCCTGGAAACACATCTGATATGCCACCTTTACCAAGTTTTCAGAATTACAGAGCTAGAAAATTAAATAAATTTATCCATAGAGCAGGAGAAAAGATTTTTAACCCTTTATTTATATCACGGTTAACAAGTCTCAGACTCATGGCATCATCCTAGAGGGTGCATCTACCTGCATCTCTAAGCTTTAGAAACTCAGAAATTCCTATAGGAATTTTTTAACAGAAAGGAACTGGAAAAAAAAAAAAGCATAGGCCCTGATAAGGGAATCAGTTGTGTTTGTGGATATCCAGGAAGCCACTTATCCCTTGTGCAGAGATTTGAAAATATTTAGGATTTGCTGCTTTTTAATTTTACTCCTTTTCCTTTGGTGGAAATCATGACTAGTGGAATCATGACTATTCTGACCAAGTGCGTTTAATAAAACCACTGAACAGACTCAGACCTTCACTAACTATCTACTCTGACAACCAGTTTGGTTTGTGTAGGGAAAAGAGAGATCAGACTGTTACTGTGTCTATGTAGAAAGGGAAGACAAAAGAAACTCCATTTTGACCTGTACCCTGAACAATTGCTTTGCCTTGAGATGCTGTTAATCTGTAACTTTGCCCCAATCTTGAGCTCACAGAAACATGTGTTGTATGGAATCAAGGTTTAAGGGATCTAGGGCTGTGCAAGATGTGCCTTGTTAACAAAATGTTTACAGGCAGGCAGTATGCTTGGTAAAAGTCATCACCATTCTCCAGTCTCGATAAACCAGGGGCACAATGCACTGCGGAAAGCCGCAGGGACCTCTGCCCTGGAAAGCCAGGTATTGTCCAAGGTTTCTCCCCATGTGATAGTCTGAAATATGGCCCCGTGAGATGGGAAAGACCTGACCGTCCCCCAGCCCGACACCCGTAGGGGGTCTGTGCTGAGGAGGATTAGTAAAAGAGGAAAGCCTCTTGCAGTGGAGATACAGGAAGGCCACTGTCTCCTGCCTGCCCCTGGGAACTGAATGTCTCGGTATAAAACCCAATTGTACATTTGTTTAATTCTGGGATAGGAGAAAAGCCACCCTGTGGTGGGAGGTGAGACATGTTGGCAGCAATGCTGCTCTGTTACTCTTTACTCTACTGAGATGTTTGGGTGGAGAAAAGCATAAATCTGGCCTACGTGCACATCTAGGCATAGTACCTTCCCTTGAACTTATTTGTGACACAGATTCCTTTGCTCACATGTTTTCTTGCTGACCTTCTCCCCACTATCACCCTGCTGTCCTGCCACATTGCTCTTGCTGAGACAGTGAAAACAGTAATTAATAAATACTGAGGGAACTCAGAGACTGGTGCTGGTGAAGGTCCTCCGTATGCTGAGCGCCGGTCCCCTGGGCCCACTTTTCTTTCTATATACTTTGTCTCTGTGTCTTATTTCTTTTCTCAGTCTCTTGTCCAGACTGACTAGAAATACCCACAGGTGTGGAGGGGCTGGCCCCCTTCAGGTTTGCTCATTAAGGTTTACAAAATTGAGTGAGCAATGATGAAGGATAACAACCAGCCCGGCAAATTTGAACTCACGGGCATTCCTCCTAAACCCTTTGGATTTCCACAAATTTAAATAACTTTTTATATTGATGCCAACAGCATCTCAAATGTGTTTGCTGTTGATAAGAGATCAGGAAAAAAGAAGATTAAAAGACAAATGACCCAGTGTTTGCCCATGGAAACACTGAGTATTTGGTCCAAGAGGCATAGAAGTACAAAGCTGGAAAACGAGAAACAAAGAGACAGAGTTTCTTGTAAGAAGTTGCTCAGATCCTATGTATTCAATAGGCCACAGTGAAAAATGAGAGACGGCAAAGCAGAATCAAAGATGAAGTCAAACACAAGACTCCTGACAAGTGCAATGGAGTCATCAATGACTGGTCAAGAATCTCATTACTGAGAAGGAAGAATTTAACATCAGCCAAAAGAGCTGGAGAGGGTAAAAACCCTGCCGTTATCACAGTGTAACAGAGCTAGCACCATGCTAGGTGCTTTGCTAGGGACTTCCCTAGAAGTGGTTGCCCATCCTCTAGAGGTGTGTCTTCTGGAACCATGACTACAGAAACAGAATAAGGCAACCAAAACTCAACATGAAGTTTGAACATGAACACACAGTCATGAAATCCTACTCTGATTTGTAGGAAGTCAGTTTAGTGACAGTTTTTTTAAAAAATCATACTTGGGCTGCTATTTCATATATTATTAGACATTTTGAATATCTGAATATACACAGGGTAAGGAAATACAGTTGCACTTTATCCACATGATAAATAGGTAGAAAGTACAATTCATGATAGAGGACAAAGGCTTTTAAAGTTGGCATCACTAAAAAAATAAGAAAAACAGTGAGTCCAGACTACTTAACTTAGTGTAAGACTGTCCCTCCCCAGCCCCAATACATACCTACAACTTCCCATTTCCTATCACTGACAGCACTACTACCTTGAGACCACCGGAACTGGTTTCATTGTGTTCTTTATCCCTCTTTATATCATCAATACCAGAAGTCCCAAATTCCCCTTTTATACTTGTTTACTGCATTGTAATTCCCATAAGGCTCTGCACATTCCCTATTTTCTCCCACATCTTCTCCACCCCCTCAACTCCTGATATCCTTCCACTGTGCCCCTGGAACTCACAGTCTTTCACAATTCCATACAGCTTCAATATCTTCTCTGAATAGACCCTTCACCTCCTTGCTCTAACTAAAACCTGAATATTCCATGAGGATCCTGTTTCCTTTGTAGGCTTCTTAAGTGGTAGATGTTTTTCCCACATCAGTCTTCTAGTAAGCCTGGATGGAGTCTGTATCCTTCCTGAAACTCATTGCTACTTCCAGACTCTTTGCTCTCCCTCCTGTGTAAATTCTTCCCTCAGCTTTGAATCTCAGGCCATGAGACTCTGCCACCCTCTACCCCTTTTTCTTGCAGTCACCTACTAACTCTCAGATCATTTCTCCTCATTTCTTAAGGATCTTGGCATAATTCACTATTACTCTCATTAACACTACTCCTGTCTTAATTACTGATTTCAAAATCTACACAGATGTCCCTTTTAACATTTAGGCCCATCAGTTCCTTGAATTTTCTCCACCAGTGATATTTTCCTTGACACTATCTCAGCCAGTAATTCTAGGAGTTACACCCTACACTTTAGCAATATCAACAGTAAAAGCACTGAATAATCCTAGTTTCTAAACATTTCTACCTCTAACCTCCTACCTTTCCACTCACTCCTGCTAGTGCCTCAATTCCAACAATCCTTCAATCAATACTTGACCTACCATCCATTGATCATACTGCCATTCACCTCATATCCCCCGACCATATCCTTTGCCCAAGACTGTGGGAGCCCACCTCTTGCATCACTGTGACCTGGATGTGAACATGGAGTCAAAGGATATCATTTTAGAACTTTAAGACTGTCCCACTGGATTTTGGACTTGCATGGGGCCTGTAGCCCCTTTTATTTTGGACAATTTCTCTCATTTGGAACAGGTATATTTACCTAATGCCTGTACCCCCATTGTATCTAGGAAGTAACTAGCTTGCTTTTGATTTTACAGGCTCATAGGCAGAAGGGACTTACCTTGTCTCAGATGAGACTTTGGACGGTGGACTTTTGAGTTAATGCTGAAATAAGACTTTGGGGGACTGTCAGAAGGCATGATTCATTTTAAAATATGAGGACATGACGTTTGGGAAGGGTCAGGGGTGGAATGATATGGTTTGGCTGTGTCCCCACCCAAATCTTATCTTGAATTGTAGCTCCCATAATTCCCAATTCCCATGTATCATGGGTGAGACCTGGTAGGAGGTAATTGAATAATGGCAGTGGGTCTTTCCTGTGCTGTTCTCATGATGGTGAATAAGTCTCATGAGATCTGATGGTTTTATAATGGAGAGTTCCCCTGTACACATTCTCTCTTGCCTGACTTCATGTAAGACATCCCTTTGCTTTTCCTTTGTCTTCTGCCATGATTGTGAGGACTCCCCAGCCATGTGGAACTGTGAGTCCATTAAACCTCTTTCCTTTATAAATTACCCAGTCTCGGGTATGTCTTTATTAGCAATATGAGAACAGACTAATAAATCTTTCCTTAACTAGGTTAAATTTGATAGCAAATCATATAACCACTACCTTGAATACACCTTCAGTATACTTCACTTGCCCTTTCCTCACTTCATGGTGTTTGCTTGGCAAAACTCCCATCCATGTTAAATCCATTTTTTTTTTGCTTACACTGATATAACTGGCCATAGCTGAAGAAAGACACATACAGTCATAATTACTGTTTTAGGTTAGGTTCCCAATAAACAGATCATGAGAAAAAAAATTATATACAAGTGACTTATTAAGGAAATGTTTGGGGAACTAATAAGAAATTTGGGGAAGCAGGTCAAGAAAGGGGAGAAAGCTAAGCAAAGGTGTGATCTAAGACAAAGTCCCTTAGAGGGTAGCTTCAGCCTGATCTCACCAGTGTGTAGGTGGGGGTAAAGGTAATGGGGGAACTCTGCCGTGTCAAAGTTCAAAACATGTCTCTGAAGCAAGGATAATGAAAATTTCATACTTCTGAATCACTATTGGTTAAGGTCCACCTCAGGTACTACAACAGTAAGAGCAAAGGGTGCTCCAATAGCCTGAGGGCAGTTTACCAAAAAAAGAGGCATAGATGCTGTTTATTGGAAGCAAAAACCAACAAAGGCAGGACATGTACAGCAACACTAGAAAGGGATCCAAGAGGATCTGGACAAAGCATTAGTAATATCTACTGAAATATCTATTCTTGCTTCAAATTCATGACCTCAGCAAACCTCAAAGTGAACCACATCTGGCAATCATATTTCCTTAGCTCATTTATTCTCCCATTCTCTTGGATGGCTGTTTCATAATTCTCTCTCCTCAAACCTCAAACACTTTCTTCTCCATCTTCATTCTCAGCTAATTAATTACCTAGGTTCCTATTTCAACGAGCAAATAGGAGCAATCAGATGAGAACTTCCACAAGCTTACACTACTGTATCTACTGCATACAATAATCTGTACACATATATTCTGTCTTCCCTCCAAAGTCTGCAGAAGGACGTGCACATTTCTATCTAAGGGCAACCCCTTCTCTTGCATATTAGAGTCCTGCCTTCTTAAGGACTTCTTTCCAGGCCTCTCTCCTACACAAAATTTTCTCTTCTAGATTACTGTCATCAGCATACAAATATGATGTTATTTTTTAAAAAGCTTTCTCTTGACCTCACTTCCCCCCTACTTAAAACATTTCTATTTCCTTTCGTAGAAAAACTCCTCAAGAGATTACACGTCCTCCTCCTATCTTCTTAAACCCATTTCAATCAAGCTTTCATTCCCTTCTTTCCATTAATACTACTTTTTCAAGATCACTAATACAAACCATGGTTTTCCCCCACCTCTTTGGCCACTTCTTCTAAGACTCCTTTGTAGGTTTCTCTTAATTTGCTAACTTCTTAATATTGGGGTGCCTTGGACTCAGTCTCCAAACCTCCTTTTTATGTGAACTATTTTCTAAGTAAGACCTTCGATCTTATGTCTTTAAATATCTTCTTTTTGTCGATGGCTCTCAAATTTATATGTCTAGTCCAGATCTCTGCCCCGACCTCAAGACATAACCAACTGCTTACTATACATATCTACTTGGATGTCTAAAAGGCATCTTGAAACTTAACACTCCAAAACTGAGTTCCTCAAATTTCCCCCTCAAATCTGCTTTTCTATAGTCACCTACATTTCAGTTCACAATAACCCTATTCTTTCAGTTACCAAGGCAGAAATGAAATAATCTTCGTCTCTTCCTTTCCTAGCCCACATTTAATCAGTTAGTAAACCCTTCAAAATACAGTCATGCATTGCTTAATGACAGGGATGTGTTCTGGAAAATATGTTGTTAAGTGATTTTTGTCACGTGTAAACATCCTAGAGTGCACTTACACAAACCTAGATGGTATAGCCTATTATGCACTGATATATAATTATGTTTTATGATCATAAATGTCTCATAATGGAGTCACTTATGACAAGTGACTCAGCTTACAGTGAAATCACTGACCACTCAGAGTAGTAAGCATATGTGTGGTGGACTGAGGTGATAAGATAGCATCTGCTGTGGCCAGGCATCCCTGACACCTGACAAGAAAGTAAAGCCAAAAGTCAGCTGAAGATAATGGCCATGGAGATGTCTGTGGAGAGCCGTAAAAGCCAATCATGGCTGAGATGCCTGCAGAATCTCTGCCCATGAGAACTCTGAGGCCTCCTTTCCTTTGGCTGTGGTAAGCCCTCTGGGAAAAGAGCAGCTACCCACCACCAGGTCAGTGGGCATTCTGAGGAAAACCAAACCTGGTTTTCTCAGTCAGTGTGCTGGTCTCCCAGAATACTTGCTGTGTTTCCCTTCTCTATTAATGCCTATGTGTGTTGGATAGAGTTACATGATTGTTGTGTAGAAGCCACACAATAAATCGTGAATTCCTAAGCATTTAATTGGCACTGATTCGTTGTGAAACTTCTCAGCTGGTTGGAGTTAGCATAAATAGGCTGATTTGAACCCGATAGGACACACCTGAGCTCTGTGGTACAGCCTGCTGCTCCTAGGCTATAAACCTGTGCAGCATGTGACTGTACTGAATACTGCAGGCAATTAATTGTAACAAAATGATAAGCATTTGTGTATCTAAACACATTTAAACATAGAAAAGGTACAGTAAAAACACAGTATTATAATCTAATGGGACCACTGCCGTATATGCAGCCCGTCATTGACCAAAACGTCATTATGCAGCATGTGACTATATACTTACACTATGACCACTTCTTACCCATTCTACACTCCCACTCTGGTCTATGCCACTGATATCTCCCTGCTGGAACACTGTAATACATTGGTGTCCTTGCTTCTGCCCTTGGCCCCTTCAGTCAACTCTCAACACAAGAAGCAGAGATTCTGTTTTTTTTGTTGTTGTTGTTTGTTTGTTTGTTTAAAGATTACTTCCCTCCTCTGCTCAAGCATGTTTTAAGTCTCTCTCCATCTCAATTCAAAGTAAAAGCCAAAGTCTCTTTATTGCCTGACAGGGTCCCTGTTGCCCTTGCTTACACTACTTCAGGCATTTGGGCTGTGTTTCCTCAACACACTGGGCACACATCCCTTCCAGGGCCTTTGCATTAGCAGTCCCCTCTGTCTGGAACACTCTTTTCCTGGATATTTACATGGCTCACATTTTCATCCCCCTTCAAGTCTTTGCTGAATGCCGTGTGCTCGAGGAAATCTTCCTGCCCCACACCCAAACATTTCCTATTCTCTTTTCCTCCATGTTACATATCAACTTCTACATTGTAAAGTTCAGAAGCTGATTTTCCTGTCTGTCTTCTACAAATACAATGGAAGTTCCAGGGAGGCAAGATTATTGTTACATCCTCAGTGGTTGATACAGTGCCAGATACATATTAGGCACTCAGCTGCAAATCACAAGTTTTGTTGTATCAAGCTATATAATACTTTCATTATTGATTAATTCTAAATATTTTATCTTTCCAATAAGATTTAATTTTTGCAAATTTTAAAAGTAAATCTTGCAGATAAAAAGAGTATTTATGAAATTGGTAAGGCATGAGGAATAGTAATGCCACAAACACCATTTTCACTACCCGGAGAAAATTACTGTCTTTGAAACCCTGTATGTCCTTCCCCTTGAGTGACTACCATTCTGAATTTTATATTTATCATTCCCTTGAAGTTTATCTCTGTATATAATATACTGTTAATTTCTTCACGTTTTTCATTCTGTGTTATGTACAGCTGTAGCTGAATCATTTTCACTGTTGTATGCTACTCCATTATGTGAATATACTGCAATTTATTCATCCATTCTGTATCTATAGACATTGTGTTGTTTCCTGGATTTTTGCTATTACAAACAGTACAATGAACATCTTTGTAGATTGTCCCCTTATACTGTAGTACAAGAAAAGTCTCAGGAGTATGTATCTATGAGTAGAACTGCTAGGTCATAGGTCATGTGTATCTTCCCAACTTCATTTTTACAAGATCATGTTGAGTTATTTTTCAATAGCAGCTATACTAATTCACACCCCTATATGAGTCCCTGTTGCCCCATATCCTGATGCTTGATATTGTCAGATTTTTTTTTTTTTTGAGACGGAGTCTGCCTCTGACTCACCCAGACTGGAGTGCAGTGCTGTGATCTCAGCTCACTAAAGCCTCTGCCTCCCAGGTTCAAGCAATTCTCCTGCCTCAGCCTCCCGAGTAGCTGGGATTTACAGGTACCCACCACCACACCCAGCTAATTTCGTATTTTTAGTAGAGACGGGGTTTCACCATGTTGGCCAGGCTGGTCTCGAACTCGACCTCTGGTGATCCACCTGCTTCAGCCTCCCAAAGTGCTGGGATTACAGGCATGAGCCACTGCACCCAGTCTATTGTCAGATTTTTTAAAAGTCAATTTGGTGGTGTGAAATGGTTTCTCATTGTGTTGTTTTTTTTTTTTTAATTTGCATTTCCCTTATTACTACAGTATAATAAAGTTGAGCATCATCAAGTTTTCGCCCATTTTTCTGGTGAGCTATTATAGTTATATTCTGAATATTTTAACCATTATATGCACTGAAAATATTTTCTTCTGTCTTTTCACTTTAAGTCTTTTAATGAAAATTTATCAGTCATTTCCTTTGTGGTTTCTGCTGTTGTCTTTAAAATATTTTCTTCTCTAAAGTCAAAAATATAACTTACACATCTTCCAAACATTTATAGTTTAACATTCAGTTCTTTTATCTACCTGGAACTGTGTGAGATAAAGAGTCTAATTTCTATTTCTTCATACAGATAACAATTATTCCAGTATAACTTCTTGAAAAGTTCTTCTTTTCCCCCCACTGACTCTCAGTGCCAACATTGTCACTTATCAAACTTCTATAAATATGTGGGTCTTTCTGTGAACTCTCTGTTCTATTTTATTGGTCTGTCTATCTCTGTGCTAATATCATACCATCTTAACTCAAATTTCCCACCTTGTGGTTCTTTAAAAATGTTTCTGCTATCCTTAGCCCTTCGCTCTTACACATAAAATTTAGGAGCACTTTTTCAAATTAGAGAAAAAAATTAGGATTTTGATTGTCATTGCTTTGAATCAATAGATCAACTGGAAGAAAAAAGTTTGCAATATTGAATATTCCTATTCAACAACATGGCATCTCTCAATTTTTAAAATTCTTTTTAAGGTCCTAATAAAAGTTTTATCATTTCTCTACAAAGGTATTGCACATCTTTTACTTAGGTAATTTATATTTTTGATGCTCCTGTAAGTTTTTGAAAATTACATTTTAACTGTTGCTAAAGTAGAGAAATGCAGTTGATTTCTGTACACTGAACTTTGATAGTCTTTTACTGTCTATGTAGATTATTGGCTCTTTAATCCATGAATCACTTAATTTATAAACATGTATTTGTTAGCTATCTTCTGTTAAACTTTTGGTATTAAAAAAACACATATTCCTTTTTTTTTTTTTTTTTTTTGAGTCTCACTCTGTCACCTAGGCTGGAGCATGGTGGTGCAATCTTGGCTCACTGCAACCTCCCTCTCCTGGTTCAAGCGATTCTCCTGCCTCAGCATCCCAAGTAGCTGGGACTACAGGCACGTGCCACCACGCCCGGCTAATTTTTGTATCTTTAGTAGAGATGGGGGTTTCACCATGTTGGCCAGGCTGGTCTTGAACTCCTGACCTCAAGTGATCCACGTGCCTCGGCCTCCCAAAGTGCTGGGATTACAAGTGTGAGTCACTGCACCTGGCCAAAACACACATTTTCAAAATATAAAGATTGATTCTTTTGAGTTTCTGAGACTTCCTTCATGGCCTATGTGTTTTCAATTTTTATAAACTTTTTCATGTGTCCTAGAAATGAATGTGTGTTCTCTGTGGGATCCAGAGTTCCATATATATTTATTAAACCAAGCTTATACAACATTTCTGGAAGCAATTTTTATACCACAACTAATTTACAACTAATTTCATTTTTTGAACACGGTTATGGTTTAACATTCAGCTTGGTTCAGAATTAAGTATCTTTCAGTTATGTACCTCTTCAACACTCCTACAATATGAACGTTACTATCTCCTTTTTGCCAAAGCAGGACTAGATGTTCAAAGGGTAACTTGTCCAAATTCCACAGCAATTGAAATAGTTGAAATTTGAACTTTGATCTGTTTCAGTTTGTTACAACACAAGGCTTCTAGCCTAGAAATCTCAGCTATTCTTTATTCCACCTTTCCCTTCATCTTCCAATATCTATTGGGACATGGGACCTTTAAATTCTACACCCTAAAATGTTCCCTGATCCATCTCATTTATTATTATTTTCATTTTCACCAAAATCAGTAGTCAAAGAATATAAATGCTAGTGATAAAATACCACTAGCACACTATGTTGTTGCAATTTTTACGCCCTTTCACCTATATTACGGTATTTCATTTCATTAATAAGACTAATCAAAATAGGTATTACAACTTAGGAAACTAGTTCTCAGAGTGTTTATGTAACATATTTAAACTCCCAGACAGCAAGTGACAGATCCAGTTTTCTGAATGATAGGACTCTTTCTGTAGCCCTGTATTAGTAACAATGTTATTTTTAGAATAAAGTTTTAAGAATGTATTATCTATTGTAAAACATCAGACTAAAGCCAGATTCCCGGTGGGGAACGCTACTCTCAGGATCCTCTCACTCAGTTCCATTACCTCACTTCAAAAAACCTGAGGCCCAAAGTGGTGCTGTGACCTCCTAAGTGGAAAAGCTAGTACTCGAATTCGGATCCTCCATCTGGTGTCATTAACTCAGCCTCCCGGAATACGGCCAATCAAACGGAATTACACCAGCTTCTCAGAAAAAGATCTAATGGCTGTATCACAAAAGAAGGCATCTATTTCTCAGAATTTGTAGCCTTAATTGCCTTGGTGAATCCTCAAGGGACATAAATCCATCCTTTAACAAAGATTCCTTTGGATAGTAGAATGGTGAACGTTATTGCGCTTCCATTACCGCCCTCCAATTGGGAAGCCCCCAGCATCGAATTCGGAGGGCCGGCAATAGCAGCTCATGCCTGTAGGGTGCGTCCACTGACTGCAGGAAAAGCAATCAGGGTGGGAGAAACTTAGGAAACCACCCAGGGCCAAAGGAAGGAAAACTCAATGTACAAATTTTTTTCCGCTGGAGGCAAAGGCTGACATCCATACCTGTACTGGGCAATGGTCAGCGTAGCCTCACGTTCGGCCCCAAAGCCAGACAAGTGCTGGTTTAGGTAGGCCTCCAGGGACTTGCTGTCGAACTTGTGCTGGGGCAGCACTTCGGCCAAATCGGACTCGCCAGTAGCACCTGGCTTCATGATCACCCCCGCAGGCCACAGCAACGCGGCATCCACAGGTCTCGAGTGCCGAAGTCCTTCAGGATTGGGGCAACGTCCCCTCTAGAGCATGGGCCGAGGCCGGGGTGGGGTCTGGCTCCAGCCAACCGCACACAGCCTACGCGCCGTTGCTGAGCAACGCTTGCCCGCTGAATCCCGAGGTTTTAGCTCTAGTCAAGTGCCAAAAGAGCCCAATGTGTGTTCGGGTTTCAATTCTCCAGTCAGCGTCAGAGTTGGAGGCCTCAATTTTAAAGAAGGCAAAGCCATGGTCATCGTTGCGGGTAAGGAACAACGCAGAAGCCTCTTCCACCCCCAAATTTAATGCAACAGCAGGCGGAAGACCTGCAGGGTCCCGTTCAGAAAAAGGGCCGTCAGACTGTCGAGCCTAAGAATAAAAAGACCCTGTTTCTCTTAGATACCCGGTTAGCAAGGCAACATCGCTGGCCTCCTGCCCTGGACACTTATCACCCCGGTGCTGCTGCGGCCGGGTTTAGCCGGCCCAGCGAGGAAGGAAGCCGAAAGAGCCAGGTTTTTGATGAGGGGGAGCGATGTCTGCGACGCACCGGAAGCGGCTCCGAGGAAGGCCTGTGGGAGTCTCGGAGACGTGTCTGTCTGTGAGGCGCTGGGTGCACGTCCCCAGGGCTCTGGGCTAGGAAGGCAGCGGCGAGGTGCCTCCCCACGTACCCCTCGCGGGCCCAGCCGAGCAACGTGGGGCGAAGGCGGCGGCGAAGGCCCGGGCTGGGAGCGTTGGCGGCCGGAGTCCCAGCCATGGCGGAGTCTGTGGAGCGCCTGCAGCAGCGGGTCCAGGAGCTGGAGCGGGAACTTGCCCAGGAGAGGAGTCTGCAGGTCCCGAGGAGCGGCGACGGAGGGGGCGGCCGGGTCCGCATCGAGAAGATGAGCTCAGAGGTGGTGGATTCGAATCCCTACAGGTAACCTGCGTCGCCGGTCGGAGGCAGGCGCGGGGGACGAGGTCAGGCTCCGTGAGGTCAGAAGTGAGGCGCTTCCCACGTCCCGCTCATGGGGACGCCCGCCACCCTTTTCTTGGTCTGCGAATCCTGTTCCCAAATGGGCAAGGCCACATCTTAGTACTGATCGGAAGATATTCTTTCTCTTTTTTAAAAACCTCCAGTGAGTCAGCCATATGGTGCTGCTCCTGTGCCTGCTGAGGACGTGTGTCCAGTTTCCTATCACCCTTGCCTCTTAATTAGTCCGCCTCGCTGTGTATAAGACTGATAGTAAGAACTTTCAGAAGATGAGATCAAATATTAAACCTGCTAAGGTAAACTTTGAGTTTCATTAAAGGCTTATCAATGCATCTTAAATGGGGTCGGGGCGGGGGAGAGCGGGGTTAGCTCTATTCTGAGATATTCGGGTGCTCCTTAACATCTCAAACCATTCGACATTACCAAGACTGCCCAGGCCTCTCTTTTCTTCTTTCCTAACAAAGCTTATCAATTCAGCAGATGGAATATAGTGCAATGGTTAAGGGTAAGGACTCTACCGCCAGACTGATTGCAATTCAAATCTAACTACTCTCTTCGTAACTGCCTAACCTTTGGCAAGTTGTGAAACTTTCCGCTTCAGCTTCTCACCTGTACAATGAAGATAATAGTAATATCTATCTCTGTCATAGTTGTGGGGATTGAAAAAATCAGTATGTATAAAGGTCTTAGAGTAGCGCTTGTACATGGCAAGCCTTATACAAGATTTTATTGCTAGGTGCATTTAGTAGCAAGCAGTTATTGAGCTTTCACTGTGTAAGCACTTTACATGCATTGTCTCCTCCCACCAAAACCCTATGAGATTGCTACTATTTTACCCCCATTATATAAGTGAGAAAATTGAGGCTTAGAGAGCCACCTCAGGTTCATGCCTTGGTAGTAAATAATAAGGCCTGTCTTGCATTAGATTTGTCTTAATGTAAAATTCTCATGAACCGTCTCCCCAGTAAAAACAATTAAGTCGTGTAGCTAAAAATTGTATAGTGTTAAAGTAGATAAGGAAGATTTTATTGTTGCTTTTTTCCTTTAAAGAGCATAACAGTTTTGATTTTTAAAAAAGGTTTTAGTTTGTGATATATAAAGCCGCAGTAGAAGTCTTAGGGTGCACTGTTTTAACTGTGTTGCCAAATATGAACGGTTAATGGTCCAGAATTTTTAGAGATTAAATAAGCATGAACTGACATCTCTAATCAGAATAAGTGGAAACTATTTGACATTTTTAAAACATTTTAAAATTTTACAAATGAAGACTTTGAAATTTTCCCTCCAGAATGAAAAGCAGAGGAATATGGGTCATGAATTTAAGTTGTCTTTCAGACATTATTTAATATGAGATGATCCCTTGACATTGTAATTATAACAAAACTTTCAGAACTCAAGTCTAAATATGTAGTATTTTCTATCTGATTTGCACCATTGACTTTATTAAAATTGCTATACAGGAGATGGCAGTTTGATACCCAAAGCTGTTCACTGATATATGGAATTTTAATAAAGTTCAGCTTTAATTTTTTGAATTGTTCATACAGCAAATATTTACTGAGTACATTTTTGTCTCCAGTCCTCCTTGACAATATTATTTACTTTGTATTGAGTACTTATTGTGTGCAGACACTGTGAATATAAAGTAGACATGGTCTTTTCCCTCTAGAGCTTACCAGATGAGTGTGAGATAAATAGAAAAGTAAACATGCCATTGCAGTACAGGTGATAAGAATTATGATAAAGTACAGTGTTATTATTGATAAAGTACAGGTTATTGAATTATGATAAAGTACAAAAGGTTATAGGAAAGGGATATGTATGTGTTCAACACCATTTTAATTGCTTCAAGAGATACAAAAGAAATATAAAGCACCTGACTTTTGCTTCAGTTTGAGAGACTACATGGAGGTGGGATATTAAAAAACACAAGTAACCGTAAAATTATGTGTTATGGAATATAGTTATAAGCATGTGGAAAAATTGGAGAGGCTTTGAGATTAGAAAACCTGGTATCAAATCCTGGCTCAGAAACCCAGCTCAGAATACCACTTGCCAGTTAGCTGATTTTGGGCAGTTGATTAACCCAAACCGTTTCCCTCATCTGTAAAAGGGGGTTGCCATCCATGCTTCTCAGATTATTTAAAGATTGAAGGGAGCATCAAGGTAAGGATAGCAAATTCCTGTGATGGATCTGCCATCACTTTCTACCCAACCTCACTAAAGTGACAGTAAAGGAATTTTTTAAAAGAAACTCCCATTGAAAATATAAAGGGTTCGTATTAATAACTGATAGGGAGGGGTGGGTCCCTGTACTTGATTATAGTAACAATTTGGAAACTAGAGAAGGGATGGGTGAAGGTAACTGATTTAATAGATTCAGAGAAGTTTAATCTTAAGCTCGCAACCCAGTTTATTGCAAGAATCCCCCAAAAGGCTCAGGAATAGGCACAGGTACTTGCAGAACTTCAGGTAGGGCTAAAAAAAACTTTCAGTTGAAAATCTGTTGAAGAAACAAAAGCCCCAGATCCCCTACTCCACTGTGGGTAACTGGGCAAACACTCCTTCCCTACCAGAAGAGGAGAGTAGAGATTTCTTCATTAGAAAGAGTAAAATAGAAGATTTCCAAGAATAATTGGGGCAGGTCTTTGTACCTGAAGGAAGGGGTAAACTGATTGTTTACATGCTGAATGCTGTGACTGAATGTAAACTAAATGCTTACATACTGAGTGTCGAGACTCCCAGCCTTGCTTCTTCACTTCCAACAGCTGATCGTGGGGTTGGAACTCCAACTCAGGTTGGAGTTTGAAAGATTATTCTCTAGGGAATCTGATAGAGCCAAGAGGAAAGACTGAAAGACACTGACATTGTGGGTTTCTCAACTAAATAGTCTGGCCAGATGACCCTACAGTGAAGTCCAAAGTCAAACAGTTATTGCCTATATTGTTACCTTTATTAGTGTCCCACACTTAAATATGAACAGAACAAAGGATGAAAGAAACTTCTAACATGAAAGAAATAAAAATAGCAACTTGGATAGACTATGTAAGATAAACACATCCCCCTAAATTATCATTAGTATCCTTAGATGAGAGAAGATATGGTACAAATGATACAGGAACAAGGTGCAAAGTATTTAGATGATCAGGAATTCTTGCAAATGGAGATGGTAATAGAAATGAAAATCTTAATAGAAGTGTTGGAAAATAAAGTTGAAAGAAATCATCCAGAGAATAGAGCAGAAAACTAAAATAGTAGATAACTGGAGAAAGAAGATAAAGGACAAATCCAGATGGTTCAACTTCCAAATAATAGGAGTTCCAGATAGTCCAGGAAAAACAAACCAAACAAGGAAGTAACCAGATTCTTCAAGGACATTTCCCAGAACTGAAAATGTGAGTTTTCATTTTGAAAGAGTCCACTAAAAACTCAGCACAAGGGATGAGAACAGATTCACATTAAGGCACACTGTGAAATTTTACAAGCTAGGAGACACTGGAGCAATACCTTAAAATGTTGAAAGACAATTCTAACTTTAGACTTCTTTACCAAGTTAAACTATCGATTAAGAGTATATGTGTAGCTTCCCACAATTATATGCCCTTTGCTTTGTCATTTTTATAAAGAATATAATTTTGATAAGGAACATTTTCAGAAATGAAAGTTCTCAAAATTTACCTTTGCCGTACCCTTTGCA
Organism: Homo sapiens; assembly: GCF_000001405.40. Classification (NCBI taxonomy): domain Eukaryota; kingdom Metazoa; phylum Chordata; class Mammalia; order Primates; family Hominidae; genus Homo; species Homo sapiens. The sequence goes on from NC_000003.12 coordinate 132,664,450, forward strand.
AAACTACTGGAAGATGTTCTTCTAACCACAGCAAGAGAGTAAGTTTAAAAATAATTGATGACAGTGTTTTAAACTGTCATGTGCATCAGAATTACTGGAGGGCTTGTTAAAGCAAATTGTTGGACTCCACATTCAAGATTTCTGATTCAGTGGGTGATTATAGGGTAGGGCCTAAGAAATTGCATTTCTATTAAATTCTCAGGTGGTCCTGTTGTTGATCCATAGACACTTTAGAACTAGTGAGCTATAGCATACAGGAAACAGTGGATTAATACAGAATAAAGAAATTAAGAGACTTTGTAGTATAATGATGAAGGAAGAGCCTAGGAAGGGAGCTGTATGTGCAGTAAGTCTAGAGACAATCATGTCAGATTCTAGGAGATACATCTTTAAGAAGATGAAATTGATAGAATACCTCATGAATATGAATGTATCTAGAGGAACTTTAGATAACTAGTGGAAAGTTGGCGGTTGAATTTGTGAAAATACATAGGAAATTAAGCATCAGGAGAAACATACTTATTAACTTCAGGGTTGGGAGTTAGAGGAAAGGGTAAGTTTTAATATATTGCATGGCCCAGTTGTGAAGAGTTAACATCTAACCAAGATGACTATCTAACAATATTGGGAAGTTGGTGGGATGGAAGATGTCTGCGTGCAGTGGGGATGAATGCTAAGAGCAAAATCTGATTCACGTAATTGACTAAAACTGAAAAGAAATAACAATGTTAGCATGTTGTTTAGGAATATGATGGTAATGGACTTAAAAGTGAGGGAGAGGAAAATGGGGGTGGAGGCTGAATTTCCTAACAAGCCTGGTGGAACTATTTGACTCCTTAAAGTGAAGATGAATGGGAATTAACCATAGACTTAAACTGCAGATTACCAGTAACTAGTTAAAGCACCTCTTAGAGTCTTTGGCATACAGTAGGTGCTTACTAAAAGTATACATCATCTATTGTGGGCAGAGGCAACAAGAGAATGGAATTCCAGCCATGAATTTACTCTGATGATGGAGATCTGAGTGTTAAAACATTAAATATTTACATATTCTACCAAAGCATAGAAAAATGTTGAAATTTAACTTTGACCCTTAACATTTAAGTAGTAGTCGCAATCTTGGCTGCAAATCAGAATACATAGCTTTTAAAAACCAATCTTGTTTCATATGCTACACTTGGGAGAGTTTTTTTAAACGGTGCCTGGGTAATTTAGTTTCATCTGGTAAAAACCAGCCTGTAAGCATCCTCCTCTTTGAAACGATTAGTAATGATTATATTTTGGTGTTTATTTTCTGTGATGATGTATGTCTATTTGTATTACTAATACCTAAAAGACTGTAAGCTTTAAAACATATTTTTCTTTGTTTTAAGCCGCTTGATGGCATTGAAACGAATGGGAATTGTAAGCGACTATGAGGTATGATAAACCCTTTCCAAGTTTTTGTAAGATTAATTCAGTAAATTAAAATAACTTCTGGTGACATATTTGATGAAGAGCTATTAACCAACATATACTATTTTATATTTCACAGAAAATCCGTACCTTTGCCGTAGCAATAGTAGGTGTTGGTGGAGTAGGTAGTGTGACTGCTGAAATGCTGACAAGATGTGGCATTGGTAAGGTAAAAACATTTCTCTTTGCCTGTCATATAGGGAACTACTCACTCCTGGAGTAAATCAGGTACAAGTTAGGATTTTTTTTCTTTACCAGTGGCTTATTGACTTGCAGTGTATTAATCTAGATTGTTCTTTCTACTCGGGTTGAGACATATCCCCACCCAAACAAAAGGTGATATTAGACAAAGATTGTCTAATTGTGTTTAGAAACGTTTTTGTTTGAAGTAATATGCAAACAATTTGGACTTAGGTGTTTTAGATATAGAAACTTAGGAAACAAGGCTGTTAATTTGATAAAGTGTGTGAAACACTGAAACATCTAACAAATATTTTATTAAACATATACCAGGCAGAATAGAAAACATGTACCTTTCCTACTCTTGATTTTGAACTAGAGAATGCTCTGGATGGATTTTTAAAAATTGGTACTCTTTTACTTTTTTCTAAAATTCATTTAGATTATGGGTTAGAAAGAAGTAACTTTCTTGTACCAGAATTCAGTCTACCAATCTTAGATTTATAAAGCCAGAGTCTATGATGTTAGATACATAATGGTTGAATGAATAAGCTTTCCACAATTATATATCCTTTAATTTGTTGTTCTGGTAAAGGAAGCATTCTCCCACAGTTTACCAATGCTTTCTAATATGTTGGTCTACCCCAAATTCTTAAAAGAAGGTGATTTCAAAATTGGCACTCACTTATCAATATAGAAATAACACCACCAAAATACTAAAAATATTTATTGAAATTTTAATACCTTTCAAAAGATTTACAAAACCTGGACAAAAATTGCTTATAGCTGACTTAAGCACCCTGACTGCTTGACCAGGGATAATAGAGATTATTGAGATTAGTGGCTCTCAAGTTTGAGTATGTTATCACAATTAGTTGGAAGCCTTATTAAAGCACAGATTAACAGATCCTACTCTGGTGGTTTTGATTTTTATAGGTGTCAGGTGGACTTCATAATTGACATTGCTAACAAGCTCCCAGGTGATCCTGATGCTGATGTTGCTAGGATTACACCAGTAAGAACCACTGGATCCTTGCTCTACTCCAAGTCTAGTCCCTGAAGTAGTAACATCAGTATCAGCTCTCAATACCTACCTCAGACATACTGAATCAGAATGTGTATTTTAACACAATCCCCAAATGATTCATTTGCATATTAAAGTTGGAGAAGTGCTCTTGCATCTCTAACAAGCTTCAGGTGATGCTAATGCAGCTAGACCACGCCATTTTGAGTAGCAAAGAGGTAGAACAGTAGTTATATATTGCTGTAGTTAGAATCACCTGGGAAGTTTTAAAAAATTCTGGTGTCCAGACTGCACCCCATAATAAGTGTCTCTGGGGATGAGGCACAAACATCTGTATTTTTAAAAATTCTCCAAGTGATTCCAGTGTGCCCTCAAGTTTGTAAACTGAGAATCTACACAGGTAAGTTTCAGGAAGTCTTTCTTTAATTTGTAAAACAGATAAATACGAAGTGAATTAATGAGGTTAAATAGGAAAGTAGAAGATGTTAGGAAACCCAGAGTCCATTTCTTATCCCTGAAAGCCTTTGGATCTCTTTAAAGTATCTGGGGTGCCTTGGATCACCAGATCTATATTCGCTGCTTTATTTTAGAGATGAAGATACAGGCCTAAAAAGTGAAAGTGATTTACCCACAATCAGAGCTAATTAGTGGCAGAGTTACAGCTCAGACCTTCTGTTCCCAAGTTTAATGTTTCCCGCAACTTATGTATAAACAAGCTATGAGGCAGAAACTCATTTAATACTTGGCCTGACCTAATAAATATTGATGAGCTTAAAGAAACTATGTTTTGGAGACTCTTACGTAGGATTAGAAAATTTTGGAGAGTGTGAGATCTTTTCTAGTATTAAGGGCTATCTAGGTGTTATGGGTTAGGTTAATTTTTTTTCTTTTTAGTTTTTTATTGAAAAGAAAATCCCATTTTTGTTTTTATTGTTTAGTGTGCTGAGAATTGTATTAAAGAGTCACAGAATTTCATATGAAGAAGGGACAGGAAGTCCTTGGCTCTAGCCTGTTCTTACTGATAAGAAATGTGATCTAATGGCCATTTTAGTGTGTGTGTGTGTGTGTGTGTGTGTGTGTGTGTGTGTGACAAATGCTTTTTGAAACAGGCTTAAGTGTATAGCAGGAAACAACAATTAACTGGTTTGTAATTCTATTTGGAATAATGTTTTAGCCATGTCACTGGTATATATTTTGTCATATACACAAAAGGAGTCAGGTTATACTATATTTTAAGTTACAGCACTTGTTTTCATCTTATTTAAAGATTTCATTTATCCAATGGATTCCTGGCTTTTAGCAAAAAAATGGAAATGAAGTAGGATTTTGCCACAGATTTAAAAAATGGAATGAAAGGGAATTAATCTTAATTTCTGAGTAAATTATTTAGAGAGGCAGCACAGCATTGTGGTTGAGGTGCAGATGCTGGATTGAGAATGCTTGAATTTGAATCCCATTTTCACTTCATATTAGATGAGTGGCCTTTGGACAAGTGTTGTAGTTGCCTCATTTTAAAAATAAGGATAATAGTACCTACATGCCTCACATGAGCATTCAATGAATTAATATATGGCACCTAGTGTTGTAGAGTTAGCTAATATTATTATCAAACTGCTAAACTAATTAAATGTAAAGCTCTCTAATTTATTTTTTGATATGTTTAGTTTTTTGGTATGTTTTTCATCAGAATACCACTATTTTCATTTTAGTTGCTACTCTTTGATTATGACAAGGTGGAACTAGCCAATATGAATAGACTTTTCTTCCAACCTCATCAAGCAGGATTAAGTAAAGTTCAAGCAGCAGAACATACTCTGAGGTAAATGGAATAGCAATCAAGTACCATATTCAGTGAAATCTTACTTTATGTATTTGATATGAGTTAATATAAATGAATCTTAATTTTTCTCTATAAAATGCAGTTTTCACTTGTACAAAGAATTCTCTTACCTGTTGGACATGGGTTGGCAAACTTTTTATGTATAGGTTAGATAATAAATATTTTAGTCTTTGAGGGCCAGATATTCTGTTGGAACTGTTAGTTGCAGTTTGATAGCAGCTGTAGGCAAAACAAACATGAATGAGCATGTCTGTGCTCCAAGAAAATTCTATTTTTGGACTCTGAAATTTGAATTTCATACAATTTTTAATTTTTTTAATTAAAAAATAAAATTTTTTTGAGACAGTCTCACTCTGTCACCCAGATTGGAGTGTAGTGACACAATCTCGGCTCACTGCACCTCCGCCTCCCGGGCTCAAGCTATCTTCGCATCTCAGCCTCCTGAGTAGCTAGGACTACAGGCACGTGCCACCATGCCTGGCTAATGTTTTGCATTTTTAGCAGAGATGGGGTTTTGCCACATTGCCCAGGCTGGTCTCAAACTCTTGGGACTCAAGCCATCTGCCCACCTAGCCCTCCCAAAGTGCTAGCATTGCAGGCATGAGTCACTGTTCCTGGCTGATAAAATTTTTATAGTCATAAATGTTCTTTTGATTTCTTTTCCCAACCACTTAAAAATGAAAAAAAATTCTTAGTCTGAAGGCTGCACAAAAACAGGTGGTGGGCCAGATTTGGCCCATGGGCCACAGTTCACCAATCCCTGCTTTAGGAATTTCCTTTGTGGCCCCAAATTTGTTAACTGAGTAAGGAAGTGAGGCTGAGTTGTAGGTAGTTACTGGACATGGTTAAGTCTTAATTCCCAACACTTAGATTGATTGGGGTGGGAACAGTTTTGTAATCTTTATGACAAAAATGAACCTAGTCCTTGAAGTGTGAGATAAAAGAGACAGAAAAGGACTTTGGGTTTTCTTTGAATAGCTTGAATTCGCTTCTCTAAGGTATGTTAAATGCCCTTTAGCTCTTTCATCTCTTTTCCTCACAGTTTTTTCTTACTACAGCTACTAGTAGTAGTCTTTTTAAAAACATTTTTTTAGAGACAGGGTCTCACTCTGTCCCCCAGGTTGGGGTGCAGTGGGTGCGATGATAGCTCGCTGTAGCCTTGAACTCCTGGACTCAAGTAATCCTCCCACCACAGCCTCTTGAAATGCTAGGATTACAGGCTTATAATCATTCCCTTTTTCCTTCTTAGGAACATTAATCCTGATGTTCTTTTTGAAGTACACAACTATAATATAACCACAGTGGAAAACTTTCAACATTTCATGGATAGAATAAGGTAAAATTTTAATTTATGAATATTTTGTATAATGTCCAGCTCAAGTATTAGAAAATTATTAGAAAAATCTATGGATTAATCCAATGAATGGAAGATTGATATATATTTTTCCATTTTTTTAGTACAGCAATTTTTGTGTAATTTTTATGTATTAGAATATCATTTAAAGGTATATATTGTCCAAAAACAATTAAAAATAAAAAGCAAACAAGCAAAAAACCCCTGTAAGTTACAATATAAGAAGAGAATGTCAACTTTAAGTTCTGTGTTCTAGATTATATTTCTGTCTGAAAATGGTTTTCTTCAGAGACTGTCAGACCACCACTGAAATAATGAGTTGCATTCAATTAGCTTTTATTACATTTGTAATGAAGCATGAATAAAAATGTGAAAGCTGGTAGTGAAAAAATAACTGTTGTGAACATACTTTATACTTCCTTCACCCTTGTAGTTCTTGTAAAATAAGTAATACTACAATGATACTGTAGTATCATTGATGTTATATTCATAAGTTACTCAATACTTGATATATATGATATCTTTAATATTACATATTTATTATGTAATAATTATAGTCAAACATTTAATGAAAGAATAAGTGTTGGACTGAACAAGTAAGTATAATGTATTAGAGTGTATTTTGTGTCCTGATGTTTTTCAAACTTATTTTCTTTGACTAGTAATGGTGGGTTAGAAGAAGGAAAACCTGTTGATCTAGTTCTTAGCTGTGTGGACAATTTTGAAGCTCGAATGACAATAAATACAGTGAGTATTCCTGCTGTGCAAGATATATTCATGGATTTATCTGTTTTCCTGTATATTCTATCAGTATATAATCCCCATCCTAAAAACAGTTCTGAATGTAAACCCTTTTCTGTGTTTTATTTGTAATGTTCTCTTAGCCTACTCTTAAAATCTATTCTAATAGCTGTGGGACCTAGACTGTCTAGCCTTGCTGCTGTGACATGTGTTACAGTATCCTACTCTTTTTGCTGGTAAACTATAAAACAGCAAATACCTCTGATGTATAATTCTTAAATTAGTATCTTATAATCTTGGTCAGCATTAGTTTTAGCTTTTGTTATTTTATAAATGTATAAATATGTATAAATTGCCTGAAAACCTGGTTTCTCAAAAAAAAATTATTTTCCTTTTGAATATTGTTTTTAACTTTTCAGATGATATTTTGGCATTTTTTTTGTTCCTGCAATGATTTTAGAAAAGTGAAATTTCACATTAATTTGACAAGAAATCCAATAAACTTTGATTCAATTTAATAATATTTACTGACTGCGTCTTGAATACTGTCACTCTACTCTTTAAATAGAGTATGGTAATTACCAAGGAATTCCATTATCTTACAACTTGCCTCATTTGTTCTGAAAATTAATTTTAAAAGACCTTGGTAATCCATTCAGTTAAAAGAATTTATTGTAAATTACTTCTTGCTCTTTTATTTTTTTTCCTTATGTTTTCACCCATTTCTACTAAGGCTTGTAATGAACTTGGACAAACATGGATGGAATCTGGGGTCAGTGAAAATGCAGTTTCAGGGCATATACAGCTTATAATTCCTGGAGAATCTGCTTGTTTTGCGGTATGCATTATTCTTTTTGGAATATTCTTCACTGTTAGATACTTGAGTTCTTAGGGGCATTGAAAATGTATTACAATTCAAAGAAAAAGCAAACTTGGATGGAATACTATTTGGAACATCTCATACTTTTTCTCTTTTTTTTTGAAATGTGTTTTATTTTTCATGTAGTGTGCTCCACCACTTGTAGTTGCTGCAAATATTGATGAAAAGACTCTGAAACGAGAAGGTGTTTGTGCAGCCAGTCTTCCTACCACTATGGGTGTGGTTGCTGGGATCTTAGTACAAAACGTGTTAAAGTAAGTCAGGGCTAATTTTTCTGAATAGTCTTGTATGCTTTCAGTAAACATAAATATATTTCACAAAGCATTTCAGAAACTGAAATTACAAGCTAAGTATATAATTTAGTTACTTTAAACTTAAATGTAGTTTTAAATGTTTTATATATGTATATGTGCAAATTCTATTTTATATATGTATGTCTACTTTTCATATATATTGCTATATTAAATATTACATATAATACATGTGTGCATATTCATACGTGAATATATGTGAATGTCAGTTACTCCCTGCATTTGGAATAGCTTTTATTAAATGATACAATGGTAGTGGCATATTTATTTATGAAACATTAACTGAATGATTTAAATCTTTGCAAGTCTGTCCAGTGGATGGAGACTTAAACACACTTGTTTCTACTATCTTGATTTAAGTCTTACCAAAAATAAACCAATGTGACTAAACAGTAATTATTGTTAATGTAATTAAACATTAGTGTTACTGTAAATTTTACATTTACATAAAATGTTAACATTTATATTAGTGTTAATATAAAACACATTAACAGTACTTAAAAAAGATTCTTGAAATCTGCTTTTAGATACCTCTGCTATCCAAAAACAAATATCCAGCAACTGTACTATCTAAACTGTAGCTAAAAAGAAGGAAAAAGATTTCTTTGCTGCTGAAATTTATGTCACAGTTTATGAATCAACTCATACTTTATTAAAAGCAGAGCCCCTTTAGGTGTTCTCTAATTCAGGCTATTTATTTTCCCTCATTTTACAACTTTAATAAGCTTAGTTGTATTCCCTAAGCCTCCAATATAATAAGAACAAACTGCAACAAGACACAAGGAGGTACCAATCAATAAGAAGTGTCAGTTGCGAGCAAAGAAATTGAAAAAAGCATACATATAAACTCTCAAAGTAATGGTCTAGGGCTATTTCATATAAGAGCAAATAGCCTGTTTAGACAGTAGTAGGCCCTGTCTAAACAAAACATTTTATAGTATGATACAAAAAAGGAGAAAAGAATCATGGCTAACAAAGTATTCCCTTAAGGATGTGTCCTATTTAGCTAGCCCCTCTATTGATGGTCATTTAGGCTACTTAATTCTTTTCTTTTTTATTAACAATGCTATAGGCTACATCTTGTATATATCTTTGAATACTAGATTGATCACTCTTCTTTTTGTTTTTTTGGAGACAAGGTCTCACTGTGTTGCCCAAGCTGAAGTTCAGTGGCTCAGTCATGGCTCACTGCAGCCTCAACCTCCTGAGCTCAAGTGATCCTCCCACCTCAGCCTTCCAAGTAGTTGGAAGTACGAGTGTATGCCACAATGCCTGGCTAATTTTTGTATTTTTTGTAGAGACAAGGTTTCACCATGTTGCTCAGGCTGTTCTTGAACTCCTGAGCTCAAGTAATCTGCCCACCTCAGCCTCCCAAAGTGTTGGGATTACAGGCGTGAGCCACTGTGCCCAGCCTAGAGTTTTCTATAGTACTTTTTTTTTTTTTTTTAAACAGGGTTTCACTCTGTCACCCAGGCTGGAGTGCAGAGGCACAAAGGCACAATCTCGGCTAACTGCAGTCTTCCAGGTTCAAGTGATCCTCCTACCTCAGCCTCCCAGGTAGCTGTGACTACAAGCACCCACCACCACGCCCAGCTAATGTTTTTGTATTTTTTGTAGAAACAAAGTCTCCTTGTTTTCCAGGCTGGTCTTGAACTCCTGGGCTCGAGCAGTCTGCCCATATCGACCTTCTAAAGTGCTAGGAGTTACAGGCATGAGCCACTGCACACGGCCTATAGTACACATTTTTTAAAGTAGAATTTCTGAATTTACGAAATATTTACTAAATTTCTCCTGCAAAAGGATTATACATTTGTATCATAGTTTAGGAGTACCTGGTTCACCCATACCTTTGATAACTTTGAGTATCATCAAACTCTGTAATCTGTCATTCTGGTGGGTAAAAAACAGGCATTTAATTTTTCTTTTTATTTGTGAAAAAGGTTGAACACTTACATTCTTCTGTGAATTATCTGCTAATAGTTGTTGCTCTTTTTTGTCTTGTATATTAAGAATGTGTATTTGCAAATATTTTTGTCATTTATCTTTTTTATGTGATTTTCTCTGTATAGAAGCTTTTATTATGTTAGTGCAAAGGTAATTGTGGATTTTGCCATTACTTTTAACAAAAACTGCAATTACTTTTGCGCCAACCTAATAAAAGACATCAGATTGGCCGGGTGCAGTGGCTCACGCCTGTAATCCCAACAATTTGGGAGGCCAAGGCAGGCGGATTGCTTGAGCCCAGGAATTTGAGACCAGCTTGGGCAACATGGCAAAGCCCCATCTTTACAAAAAAAAAATACAAAAATTAGCCAAGCGTGGTGGTGCTTGCCTGTAGTCGCAGCTACTTGGGAGGCTGAGATGGGATTGCTTGAGCCTGGGAGGGCGAGGCTACAGTGAGCCATGATCACGCCACCTTACTCCAGCCTGGGCAACAGAGTAAAAAGTATCAGATTTGACTGGGAAGAGGGCAGGAGGGAGCTGGAGGCACATGGGATGCTGAAAATGTTCTGTATCTTGATCTGGTGATGGTTACATGAAAGGCTCATACAAAATTTTATTGAGCTATACATTTAAGATTGTGCATTTTATAGTAAGTTACATACAAAATGTTAAAATTAAGTAGCTTTCTTAATTATCTCAGGGATTTAAAAAATACACTTCTCCCACATTTTAGCTTCTCTGAAATCAGCATGCTTCTTGAAGTTGTTGACGTGTAATTGTTTAGCTGCCAGCATTTTATCTTTATTAGAGGTTCAAAAAAATAGTGTGTTCTACAGTTGATGAAATGGAGTAATCTTTTCTTTCCTTCATTCAATAAACACTGAAGTATCTACTATGAGCCAGGCACTGTAAATAAGATAAAATTTCTGTTTTCTGGATGCAGATTTCTGTTTTCTGGTTAAAAAAAATATATAATTACCTATTTCAACGTTATTTTTAAAAAATTTAGGTGTTCTAGTATTTTTCATGTTTTAAATTTCTTTATTTAAGTCTATTTTGATTTTTCTAGGTTTCTGTTAAATTTTGGTACTGTTAGTTTTTACCTTGGATACAATGCAATGCAGGATTTTTTTCCTACTATGTCCATGAAGCCAAATCCTCAGTGTGATGACAGAAATTGCAGGAAGCAGCAGGAGGAATATAAGGTATATGACAATCTGTTAGAATGCATGAGGGATCATATTGAATAGGACAATACATAAACAGATTTGGAATACAAGATAAATGGTTAATTTATTCACCATACTTCAAAAATGAATGTTCTTTCTTGCTTTTGGTAAGATAAAAAGCCTGTCTGAATTCTTGATTAATGCTTTAGAGAACTGAGAATGAGTAAGAACACTTTGATGCTGTTTGATTTCTACAGAAAAAGGTAGCAGCACTGCCTAAACAAGAGGTTATACAAGAAGAGGAAGAGATAATCCATGAAGATAATGAATGGGGTAGGTATTCTTTTATAAATTGAAATGGCAGTATAAAACAAAACCTTTTATGGTAGCAAATCTAATAAGATTATACAAATTGAATAATTATTGCTTATTAAATTCCTTAAAAACTGACATAGGATCAAATTTACAGGTATTGAGCTGGTATCTGAGGTTTCAGAAGAGGAACTGAAAAATTTTTCAGGTCCAGTTCCAGACTTACCTGAAGGAATTACAGTGGCATACACAATTCCAAAAAAGGTACTTCAAAAATATGATTTACCCATATGTAAATATCATATAAAATATTTATCATCTTCATTCTAATTTGTAATGCCAATGAAGTATTTCCTGTTTTAGATATTTTATGCTATAGGCATTAAGATGTGAGAGAGAGGTATGCAGTGTTAATATGCAAATATTTATAGCTTAAACTTTTAAAACATAGAATAAAATGGTTTTGTTCACTCATTAATGAACCAAGTATAGTAGATTTTGATTAAATGAAGATCTCATTTTTGTTTATCGGTAGTTTTAGCTACGATGTCGTTTAAAAAGCTAGAGCTGTCAAGAATATTGAAATTACTGCCTTGTAAATCAAAAGACTGGTGAGGAATGTAAAAGACTCTGTCTTTCTTCTAAAAATTAGAAGATAGTTGTTAAAGAAAATTTACTTTATAACCTTGTTGAGCATGGTCAAAACTTGCTGATTATATATTCCTAAGCATCAAGAATTCTATATGGTTCTTTTTTCACTGTATTTCCCTTATTTGTCAATAGCAAGAAGATTCTGTCACTGAGTTAACAGTGGAAGATTCTGGTGAAAGCTTGGAAGACCTCATGGCCAAAATGAAGAATATGTAGATAATGGACTGGGATATATTGTATTTCTCATGTTAAAGCCTCTTCCCTTGAAATTAAAAAAAAATTTTAACTGATAAAACTTAGGGCAACATTAATTAATGTATATTCTTACCTGAATTGTTATACTTTTTGAAAATCCTGTGACTTGCCTGTTTCTCCCCGCTCCAACGAAATCATTAACTCTCCTAAAATGTGTTTCATTCTAGTAAGAAAACCTCAAAGGATATTGTAGGATATAAATCTTACTTGAAAACATAGCTGTTGAAATGTTTTGGCCTTTTGGAGTGGGGGAAGGACAAATCTGATCCTGTAATCTTTTTCTTTCCAGTAATCCCTTGTGTCTGTTGCATGAGGACATGGACAATAAAGTAGTATATGATCCTCAGATACAGGGAGAAGGACAAGGCATACAGCTTATTGATTAGAGCTGGCAAGCATCTGCTCATTATGTTTGGAATTGCTTTCTATAAGAAAATTGCCCACTACTACTAACTTGATCAACAATGAATTCAAAATAGTTAACCTATGAAATAACATCCTCTCAAATGTTTGCTGATGAAGTACAAGTTGAAATGTAGTTATTGGAAAAGTCTGTAACCTGTGGATCATATATATTCAAAGTGAGACAAAGGCAAATAAAAAGCAGCTATTTTCATGAATAGACAAAGTTGATTTCAGGAAGTATAAATTATATTCTGCACCGAACAAGGAACAGAAATTATTGCATCTGTGGAACATATATCTGGAGTTACTATACTTTACTGAAGAGCAAGGCATAAATTTAGACTAAAATCCATCCAGATTACACTCATTCTTTAGGCTACTCCTGGATACTTCATTTAAATTTGATTTTCGAGGTAGTGAGATGTCGGCAAGGTTTGTCCTGTATATTAGGAATAAAGGAAAAGTTCTAAACTGCCTCTGCAATGACTTGTAGTCAGTGGAAGAGTATCACTTTCCCCTGATCATGACCACTAAACTGTAAATTGATATAAATTAGTTTTCTCTCGAGTTACACCCAAGTAATGAAGACTTAAGAGAACCTTGGTTGAAATAAATTTCCAATAGTTTGGAGACTCATAAATACCATGCAGGTGTAACCACTGCCAATAGGCTGTTTCTATGCTTATTTCCTATTTTGATTTTTACTTTGAAGATAGGAATATCTAAATTATATCTCTAGGGAGAAAATGTTGTAAAAAATTAAAAGTACATCCCTGATTGTAAAATAAAGTTCAAAAAACTGATTTCAGAAAGTCTCAACTACCAAATGTTTTCAATATATTAGTTTTGAGATGCTAGGATTATACTGTGATTCTTATGTTTATAGTAAAGTCTGGAAAGCAGAAGGATAGTTTTTTTAGCCTGGAAACTTATTTATGTTGCCTTGGTGAGTCTTCTATCATTTTTTAAAAATTTAGCTTATTGAACTGTAAAATAGCTTTTCTAGTATGAGAGATGTTTTGAATTTAAAAAATGAAATGCAGTTTTTCAAAAATAAATTTCCTTTGGAAATTCTTGCATATCAATTTAGTAAGGTTTTATAAAATTTTACAATTTGATAAAGTATCACATCTAGAATTCACTGTCTTCTTTTATCTGCTCTCAAGTTGGCATTGCATCACTGCCTGTGTCTTACACTGCACCAAATGTTACCTAATTGACCTAACTTTTTTTGTCTAATATCTTTCATTAAAAACAATTGGATTATTTAACCAGAAAAAAAATCTGGTAATAGAGATGTTGCTATCCTAGAATACTCTCTTGACAGTCTGTATGCCATGAAAACTTGCATAAGAAGGCAGCTGATTACGAAAAATTAATCATCATTGAATTTAGTATTACTAAACTCATAGCATTTGTCCAGATTTGTAAACACTATTGATTCTAATGTGAAAGATGGAAAAGCAGTCCCAGAATTGGCTTAGCACAGAGACTCTAAATGATAGTAAAACAACATATTCAACTTTAATTCCTGTCTTATTGTTAATGGGAAGTTAGTTATGGTTCTACTTAAATGTTGTAGAGAAAATAAGTATTACTAGTTTCTTCTCATAAAAATACTCCCTGGATACGTACACTGAACAACACAAAAAACGTAATGGCCACTTAAGAATATTTATTTATTTATTTATTTTTTTGAGACAGAGTCTCACTCTGTTGCCCAGGCTGGAGTGCAGTGGCACGATCTCAGCTCACCACATCCTCCGCCTCCCAGGTTCAAGCGATTCTCCTGCCTCAGCCTCCCAAGTAGCTGGGATTACAGGTGCCCGCCACCACGCATGGCTAATTTTTGTATTTTTAGTAGAGGCGAGGTTTCACCATGTTGGCCAGGCTGGTCTTGAACTCCTGACCTCAGGTGATCCACCCATCTTGGCCTCCCAAAGTGCTGGGATTATAGGTGTGAGCCACCACGCCCAGCCAAGAATATTTACTAAAGGAAGCTTTGACCCCTGCATCACATTTTTTTCATATTTCCCTTTCTGTAATCTCAGCACTTTGGGAGGCTGAGGTGGGTAGGTCAAGAGGTCAGGAGTTCGAGACCAGCCTGACCAACATGGCAAAACCCCGTCTCTACTAAAAATACAAAAATTAGCCGGGCGTGGTGGTGCGTGACTGTAATCCCAGCTACTTAGGAGGCTGAGGCAGGAGAATCGCTTGAACCTGGGAGGCAGAGGTTGCAGTGAGCTGAGATAGTGCCACTGCACTCCAGTCTGGAAAACAGAGTGAGACTCTGTCTCAAAAAAAAAGGTATTGATGAATAAAAATTATAACTAGAATAAGTACTCTAACAATTCAGATTTATAATTGAGTTGTCTGAAAGCTACCTTTTTCATTGTGAAAGTGCATATTAATGTGAAGAAAATATTCCTATTTGAGAACTTCAAATATGCATACACAAAGATGTTCCAGCTATTTTTATCTTCTTAAGTATGCATTCTACATGAGAACGTTTGGGTTGGTAGTAAAATAAATAGTAATATCAAAATAGTTTATTATGTTTAAATTTCATTCTTTTGGAATACATAATTTTGAGTGATCATGTCTCCAACTACAGTTATTCAGGCACAAATTTTGGAGGTACAAAGAATAAATAATATTCTTAAGGTAGTTTTTCCTTTTATCAGGGTTCTTCTAGAGTACTGGTCTCATTATT
Organism: Homo sapiens; assembly: GCF_000001405.40. Classification (NCBI taxonomy): domain Eukaryota; kingdom Metazoa; phylum Chordata; class Mammalia; order Primates; family Hominidae; genus Homo; species Homo sapiens. The sequence continues at coordinate 132,679,684 of NC_000003.12, forward strand.
TTCTAAAGCAGTTTTTCTAAGGTGATAAACCGAACACATTACTTGCTATGTATTAAATGACTTGTACCACTAAATAATCAAATTCTAAGCTCTAACAGCTTAATTCTAAAATCATTGTCTGGTATATTTGTGTTTTCAATTACTTTGTGTCTTTCACAGCTGCCAAACCCAGAAAGGTATGTTATGGTTATAGTTTATCTTCTATTTTTCCCTCTTGAACTACTCCCAAAGGAGGAAGAAGGATGCTCATTATATACTGCCTCATTTCTTTTTAAATTACCACTATAGTGCCGTAGAGTTATACCACTGCTTCTCATACTTATGTGCACATTAGTCACCTTGGGATCTAGCTAAAATACAGATTCATTCAGTAGGTTTGGGGAGAGGCCTGAGAGTCTGAATTTTTAATAAGCTGCCAGGTGGTGGTGACAATGATTTGTGGACTACCCTGTGAATAGTAACTCGGCCTTAAGAGAACATTAACCAAAACCTTAAGCTGAGCAAACTACTGAGCAGCAAGTATTGACAACATTTCAAGGTTTTGTTTTTTGTTTTGTTTTGTTTTGAGATGGAGTCTCACTCGGGCTGGAGTGCAGTGGTGTGATCTCGGCTCACTGCAACCTCCGCCTCCCGGGTTCGAGTGATTCTCCTGCCTCAGCTTCCCAAGTAGCTGGGACTACAGGTGTGTGCCACCACGCCCAGCTAGTTTTTTGTATTTTTCAATAGAGATGGGGTTTCACCGTGTTAGCCAGGATGGTCTTGATCTCCTGACCTTATGATCCTCCCGCCTTGGCCTCTCAAAGTGCTAGGATTACAGGCATGAGACACCGCGCCCGGTCCATTTCAAGTTCTAAAAAAAGTTCAACGTATTTCTTTAAAAATCATGCAAAACAGCCCTCTTGTATAAACTAGAGTGGGGAAAAAAGAACTTGAAATTGCACTTTTATTTTAAAACAGTGAAGTGTGGCTATTACATATTTCACTTTTACAATCAATACATGTTAGGATCTTACAAGTATTAAATTGATGATTTTATTATATATAAATACACAAATGGTCCAAAACAATATCTAAAATGTTGCAATATTTATAAAATCCATAAAAATATTTAATTTTCAGTATGAAAATGGCATACTAATTTGAGTTTGAGGTAAATGAAGAGACAGATTTAGGCCATCTAAGAAGGAAGATAAAGGAGAATGTCATATCTATATTTTGGGAAAAGTCAAAGAATGCTAAAGAGCTTGACCTGTTACTGCATTAATGACTTCAGACATTATGCAGATACATATACTATATAGTAATAAATAATACACAATGTAGACAGAACAGAAAGCAGAGGGACTGGACCAATCTGCTCAAGGAAAAGGTAAAGAATTTTTTAAAGTGCAGCAATCAGGGATTCTTGTGACTAATGTGTTTCACTGAAGACAATTTGAATCGTTCATAAACATTAACCCTTTAATCCTTGAAACTTTCCTTTGAGGTAGAGAATTGGGCCAGACTACTGCTGAAAAGCAAGAGGAATGGCAAGGCTAAAGTAGCTCTTGAGAGCTCAAAAGAATCATGGAATTCTTTTTTTTTTTTTTTTTTTTTTTGAGACAGAGTCTCACCCTGTTGCCCAGGGTGGAATGAACTGGCACAATCTCAGCTCATAGCAACCTCCACTTGCTGAGTTCAAGCGATTCTCATGCCTCAGCCTCCTGAGTAGCTAGGATTACAGGCATGCGCCACCAGGTCCAGCTAATTTTTTTTTGTATTTTTAGTAGAGACAGGGTTTCACCATGTTGGCCAGGCTGGTCTCCAACTCCTGGCCTCAAGTGATCCTCCTGCATCACCCTCCCAAAGTGGTGGGATTACAGGCATGAGCCACCATGCCTGGCCAAGATTCATGGAATTTTTGAACTCCTTGTCTTAACTACTCTGCCAGCTCTTGTTGAACAAAGACCAATCCGCTCTTCATGATTTGCTCCTCATGTCTTCTTATAATTCTAATGTGTCTACATCCTTGGATACCATATAATAGGAAAATTCTTTTAAACAACTAAAACAGACATAATCACAATTCCAACTTAATGTAATCCAATACAACTTCATACAAATAGCAGTTAAATCACACGTAGTAAAATTTCGTACAACATTTTTTTAAAGTTTCAAATTCAAATGTTCCAAATGTTTAATTATTTTGTCTTAAGGTACATTTGCAAAGAATTCTAACTGCTGCTATTACCTTTGTCCTTGCTGAAGGAAAACATTAGGAGAATGAGCTGTTTTTAAGCTAAACGTGTCTCCACTTGATGAATGGCGTGAAGGAGCTTTTCCACCCAAGAGTGATGTTTCTGCTTCTTTTATTTCCATTGCCCTTTTGTATAATTCAGCAGCTTTTTCAAAATCTCCTCCTTCATAGCTTTGAGAGAGAAAACAAAAACTCTTAAAATGAGAATATAACCTCTTACCAATTCAAAATGACCTTATGGGATACAGAAAAAGAAGCTGTAAATATTTGCCCATTTCCCCTCTTTTTCCAGTGTATTCACTCAAGCAGACCAGTAAAACAACACCCAAACTCTTCTCCTTTCTACCAGTATCAGTATTTTTGTGTCTCATATGGATATCATTAAAACCATGTTGTAATAGAGGCAGTGAAATTGCTAAGCAAAGTTAGGTATTCTCTGCATCCTGAGAAAAATACAAATGAGCAAGCAAAAGTCAACATATACTTAATGGCAACTTCACTCTGGGGACAGCAAATTACCCATATTACTCCCAGAGCCAGATGTAGTATAAACCATCCTTCACTGTTTGCCATGATGCATACATATGCTCCTCTGCAAAATAGATCATGCAGGCTTCATTTCATTTCTGGATACTACTTCAGTACTTCTTGAAGTCAGTCAGCAAAAAACAACCCCTCCCCACTCTAAGAAAAAACATTCAGTAATACATATTTTGTGCTATTCTAAGACAAAGCTACTTCGAATAAAAGAGGCTGTATAAGGAAAGTGAAAAAAATTCTTACCTAAGCACAGCTAAATTTTTCAGTGTTTCTCCAACTCGAGGATGCATCCGACCCAGGCTATCTTCATAAATCTTTAATGCTCTTTCATATAATGGCAAAGCTTCAACGTGTTTTTTCTTATTAAAAAAAATGATAATGCTCATGCACACTGGGTTTCTGAAATTAATGTATTCTAGACTAAGCTAACCTACTTTGATTAGTACTTTAAAATGTTAATATCCTCCTAAAAGATGGGAATAAACAGATTAACTTATGAATAATCATAGGAGAAGCAGTATAATAGAAAGTCAGATACTTAAGATTTAGACCTGGCTTGGTAACCATTTGACCATAATCCAATACTGTAAGCACAAACCTGTTCCTTTATTGCCCAATGGCTCCCCCACCTGATTCTCACCCATCATAATCAAATGCCACAGGCTTAAATACTTAAATAAATATTATATGGAGGGATGTAGGGTATCTCCAGAATTTTAGAAACTAAGCCTATGCTCTGAACTAACAGTGTTTTACACTAAGAGGAAGGGACCTTCATACAAGTCTAACTTCAATAGTTTCTCAAGTACTAAAGGAAGTATTAGAAATATCCTTAAATTGTCTTTCATTCTATTTAGTGTTCCCTATCTAATTCATGTTTACCTATGTTTTATACCATAAAATCATTCACTGATACAACGTTAAAATATGGGAACTTACCATTTGGCTATAAAGAACAGCTAAGTTCACCAAGGCAGTAGCTACACTAGGGTGCTTTGGGCCAAAAGATTTCTGTCGAATTTCAACAGCCAATTCATACAAAGGTACAGCTTTGTCAAGTTTCCCCTAAAAAACAAGAGTTAAATCTAACAAAAATATAAGGCAATAAATACTATCTTATCAGAGCTTTTTCCATAAGTAAAATTTCATATTAAAGGGTAATTTTGAGGGAAAAAAATCTCAGAAGCATTTCCTATCAGCTTAATGATTAAGTTTATAGATAACTGAAAATTTAAAGCTACACTGTATAGAAAAGCATTTTTGATAATTCAGAAAACCCTTTAGGATCATCCACTATTACTGTTTCTAGTGTAGTAAAAACATATCAGCTGAAGTAGATTTACTATTGCACATAATTTGGAGACTGCATCAAAATAAAAAGCTCATTTCTTGCCAAATCCCTTCCAGATTTTTCTAACTACTTCACTTCACCTGAAAGTTGGGCAGAAATAGCAGCAATGTACCCTTCTTACTAAAACAACTTTGGTGTCAGGATGACCAGTAATGGACCCACAAAGTCTAAAGACAGTCTACAAAGCTCTGTAACTATGCTAAATGAAAGCAGGCTTCCCTGGAATTTTTTCTTTTTTGAGAACAGCTATAAAAATCCCAAATATCACTCAGTATAGAACCCTATGGCAAACAATGGTTACATTTAATTACAGGCAAAGCCAAGAAAGAACGAAATAAAAATGTTCATTTAATCAACTACAAAGACATCTCCTGATTTCTTATGTTTATGTTGCTTTACACAGCAAACTTAATATTGGTGGAATTTTAGAACTTCTGAAATGTAAAATAAGTTTGAATTAGAATGCTAATAAATGCATTTGTACTTGGAATGTATTTAACAAAACAAACCCAGCATATTAATTTACTAGTATATTATTTCAGAATCAAGAATCAATGTAACCAGTTCAGTATAAAATAATTATTTTTAAATGTTCTGCTCAGTTACTTGTTAAAAGTTAAATCATGATTTTTAAAGCTCATATAAACTAACCTGTCCCTCATAAAGACAAATTATTTTGCTGATAGTAGTTATGGCTTAACTGATATGTTATAAAACATGTAAGAATGTCAAAGCTTACTTACCATTTTCTTATACAAGATGGCAAGATGCTTCACCGTATATGCCAAAGAAGGGTGATCAGGAGCTAATGCACGTCTCCGAATATCTAAAGCTCTTTCATAAAGTTCTTCTGCTTTATCATACTGTTTCTTTTCATTGCATAGAGCTGCCAGATTATTCAAAGACTGAGCACAGTCAGGGTGATCTGGTCCTAGAACTCGCTCCCTCATTTCTAAGGAACGCTTCAGAAACTGGTCAGCTGTTCTGTGAACACAATCCCAAAATGGCTTAAACTATCTATTTTCTAGAGTTTGGAATCCTGACCCCTAAATTAAGTGGAGAACTGACTCATCTTTATTCTTAGATTCTAGTTAAAATAAGAGATTCAGCTCAAAATCTTACTTTCCCCCTCTTCCCCACCCCTATCTCTTCCTGCCCTTTTCCTGACAGTTTGAGGGCCTAAAATGTGTGGATGATTGCCTCAATTCTCCACTTCTGAAAGAAAAACTGATAGATATTTTCCAAAACAAACTTTTATACTTTAAAAATTATTAGACCTAGGTCCAATAAAAGATTTTTGTATTCACTCTTCCTCCCTTTGGAGTTAGTACTAAATAATTTTTATTTCTTTATTTTGTTTTTTTGTATGTGTGCGTGTGTGTAACCTTGAACTCCTAGGCTCAAGTGATCCTCCCACCTTAGCCTCTCAAGTAGCTGGGTCTACAGGTGTGTACCACCATGTCTGGCTAATTTATTAATTTTTTTTGTAGAGACAGGGTCTCACTATGTTGCCCAGGCTGGTCTTGAATTCCTGGCTTCAAGTGATCCTAATGCCTCAGCCTCCTAAAGCTCTGGGATTACAGGCATGAGCTATCATGCCCAGCCAGTACTAAATAATTTTTAACAAAAGAATAAATCATTATTTTTTATATAAGTTTCTGTAAGTGGGCTACAGATTTATTATACTTTTCTGACATCCAAAGTTTCAAATTTGTTATATTTTTCTGATATATGAAGTCCAAAAATACTTTTTATAACATATAAATATAAATGTCATTTTGAATCCTTTTGCCCAAATAAACTGACAAAACTAGAAACCGTCTACATTATTTACCATTAGTCCCAAGCTGCTGCTTCTGTGAGATCTTATGCACAATATCTACACAAACTCACTTTTCATAAATATATAAAATACACCAGGGAAGCTACAGAATAACTTTTCAGTTAAGAAACAATGTGGGCCAGGCGTGGTGGCTCACGCCTGTAATCCTAGCACTTTGGGAAGCCAAGGCGGGCAGATCACGAGGTCAGGAGATCGAGACCATCCTGGCTAACACAGTGAAACCCTGTCTCTACTAAAAATGCAAAAAATTAGTCGGGCGTGGTGGCATGCGCCTGTAGTCCCAGTTACTCAGGAGGCTGAGGCAGGAGAATAGCTTGAATGGGAGGTGGAGGTTGCAGTGAGCCGAGATCACACCACTGCACTCCAGCCTGGGCAACAGAGCGAGACTCCGTCTCAAAAAAAAAAAAAAGAGTGTGAAAAGAAACACAGTAGAGAAAATGCCATGGTCTTTAGGTATGTGTATGCTCATTATATAACATCATACATGAAATTTTGCGTGGTTTTTATCATTTTTTTTCTAGCTTTAGACTTGACAAAAATGTAAAACAGCATTGCATCAAAGAGAAAATGGTTAATTATTTTCATTATTAACCCCATGGTACTCACTCCAGGTTATTTTGAAGATAGTAGAGAACACCCAGTTCATTGAGGGTCCGAGCATTATCAGGTGTGTCCTTACCTAATGTAAGCTCTTCTAACTGTAAAGCCCGTCTACGTAAAAGGGCAAATCCGTACTGCAGCAAACATGAAAAATGAAAAGCAATCACTAAGTAGGTGCAATCCTTGATTCTGAAACAATATATGAGGGTCCTAAAAAATCTTCCTTTTTTCCCATTTAATCTAGATAACTATTATTTTAAGCATCACACTAAATTAACTTGATGATTACAAATACAAATATTTCCACATGGCAACACATTCTAAAATTCATTAAAAACTATTTCATGAAAATGATTATATTTTAGAAAGTAAACTATATCTCAAAGTGCTTCAAGAAATAATAGAATATAATTAATTTGCAGATATTTATCAACCCCATAGGTAAACACATAAACATCAGGTCCATAAAAATGCACACAGCATTTTAAATTAAAGAAATATGCTACATTTAGATTTTATCAGCAACTTAAAAAAATTAAAATAACTTTTATTGTGTATTTGAGGGGAAGGCTTTCTTCACATTTGAACATAACACAAAATGTTAACTAAATTTATTTTATTCCTTTTTCCAACCCTTTAAAGAACTGAGGTAGCTTTAAATTCCGTCTTTCAAAATCTAACCTTCAAATGAATTTAGAGTTCCACTTTTTAAAGTCTAAATTGTACTTCTCAGTAATATGATATTTTAACACATAAATAAGAAAATGTTAAGTAGTTCTCTTCTAAAAAACTAGAAGATTTTAAAATCTAAAGCTCTTAAACATGTGGGGTGTATGCATTTATGATGCTCTTTTCCTCTTACGTTCAAAACACAACACAAAAGAAATCTCTCCTTACCAAGTTGCCTTTTTTCTTTATAGCTTTCTGATGAATTTTAAAGGATTTTTTCCTAAAATGTTCAGCTTGTTCATATCTTAAAAAAAAATTACAGTAAGTCAAACAAAAGAAACATATTCAAAGTATACTTCAGTGAAATGAAAGCACTCTTTTCATAGTGTAAAGTCTTTTTGGGCTATTAAATACAGCATTTTTTCTAGAAATGATAGTCATGACATTAAGAATCTCTAAAAACCCTTTCATAAAACAAAATATGACAAAACACTAAGATATCTTAGTCTATCATGGATGTTTTTCTAATAAAAAGTTCTGTTCAATTAAAAAAATTTTGACAAAACAAAGCAAGTCTAGTCCTTTAAGTAGCTGACATCTGATCATCTTTAACTAATTTAACTCATCCTAAGTCTCTGAAGGGCAACCTAACTAAATGAAAAGTCAAAATTTCAGTTTTCTATAGCACACTAATAATTTTTAATTAACAACTTTTTCTGCACAGGCTAATTTCTGGTCAAGTTTAAATGTGAAATTCACACAAAATTTGTACGAAGCAATACTTCTATAAGTTAAAAAATTCCATTATGTATCACTTATGATAGAGCAAAAGAAATAATTTTTAATAGAGGAAGAGATGCCATTCATTGGGTGCCTGATAGATAAGAAAGACTTTTTATTATACCAGAGATTGGCTTTTTCTATAACGGGCTAGAGAGTTAATATTTTAGGCTTTGTGGGCCGTGTGCTTTCTGTTCCAAGTGAGGAACTCCGCCACTGAAGCACAGAAGCAACCATGGATAATATATACATGAAAAAAATTTGGCTGTGTTCCCTTTAAACCTTATTTACACAACTGGACTTGGCCTATGGGCAATGGTTTGCTGGCCCCATAAAGGTTGAACATCCCTAATCTGAAAACCCAAATTCTGAAATGCTCCAAAATCAGAAGCTTTTTGAGTGCTGTCATGATGCCACAAGTGGAAAATTCTGCACCTGACCTCAAGTGATGGGTCAACTCAAGCCACAGTCAAAACTGTGTTTTATGCACAAATTAAAACTAGTACACAAAATTACTTTCAGGCTATGTGTATAAGGTGTATATGAAAAATACATTTCATGTTTAGACTTGGGTCCCATCCCCAAGATATCTCATTATATATATGCAAATATTCTGAAATCTGAACAAATCCAAAATCCTGAACATTTCTGGTTCCACATTTGGATAAAGGATACTAAACCTATATTAGTAAAGCACTCAAAGTTAGTCAGTGAATGAGCCAGGATTCAAACCCAAGACTATATGACTCGAAAGTCCATGTTCTATCCTTCATGCATCTTCAAACAGAGATGAATCTTATAGTTCTCATTTTCTCTGTTTACCACATGAAGACTAGGCACAGGGTAAGGAAAAGTACACAGTGATAAAACAAAGCTTACCCTATAAGTACACTAAAACTGTAATCCCCCTGCATAAAATCAGGTATTACTGATCTAAAAAATCTTACTTATTTTGTTTCTGGTACAAAGTTGCAAGTGCTTCAAGTTCACGAGCAGTATATGGATGGTCCGCACCATAAGCATTTTCTGAGATTTCCAACGCCTGTTTATACAGTTGTTCTGCATTGCCAAACTTCTTCCACTGCACGTATACACTTGCTAGTTGGTGGAGGGACTGGGCTACTCTTGGGTGATCGGGATCTAAAGCTGTTTCTCGAATCTCTAAAGACCTCTGCAAAGGTACTATGGCCTGGGGGGAAAAGGGGTGAAAGGCCAGTTAAAGTGAGTGAAATGCTGCAAGATCTGTCATCTGATTAAATATTAAGGATTATAGCACAACAAATGAAAACCACATTAACATCTTGGAAAAAGAGAAGAGTGAACACAAAAATCCCACCTGTCTCTGGCTTGCCATTGATCTGCTGAGCTTACCTGACTGAGAAGGCCTAGATCCTTGAGAAATCGCCCCAAGGTTTCATAAAGATCAGCTAAGCAACTCATGTTGTCCTCGCCTTCGCAGTTTTTCTCATACTGCTTCAATGAATCGAAGTATTCTGTTGCCATTGCACTTTTGTCTTTGCCAACAAACTGCCAATAACTCAGCAACTCAGCAAAGTGTCCCCTGTTTCAACAAATAACAGTACTTTAATGAAAAACACACTTTAAAATCCATTACAGAATCAAAACTCCAGAATTAATATCAAGTTATTGACAATTTATTAGTAGGCGAGTACTGTGTAATGAGGTAAGACTCAGACCACTCACTATCTGAATTCCACCACTATCCTAGCTATGTAATCTTGAGCAGGTTATCTGACCTCTTAGACCTCATCACCTTCATCTGCAGAAATGGAGACACTACCTGCCTCAGCTGGTACTGTAGGGGGATTATGGCACACAGTAAGTACTCCACGGTGTTGGCTGTTATCCTTAATACCATCATGGCTACTTACCAATGGGAATCTATCTGAATCCTTTTTACACATTTCACAATATGGAGCCAACCACTGAGTTCACTCCCAAAATTATTTTAAGTATGGAAATTCAAAGAGAAGAAACTAATAAAAAATAAACTGTCACAGAGTATCTACTTTGTATTTTCATCAAGAAATTGAATGACAAAAGTAAGCTTATTCATCTGTAGGCGATCTTAAGTAGTATGGGGCTGGTAAACTAAAAAATATCTGATTTCAAAGGAATCATGAAAAATTGGAATGGAGATCAGAAATAAGAGATGCAACAAATTTGAGAGAGTTTATGTAGGAGCAAAATAAATTATGATACTTATTGTATAAGAAATGTCTAAATCTCTAAGTAAGGCAGAAAAAAACCCTCATGAAGCTTAGTAGGTTAGACAGTTGCCTCATAAAAAGGTAGTTCTGCCACTGACAAACTATAACATATCAAAAGAGACAAACAGAATACATTTTTGAATTAGGGTAATTCTTTCTTTAAATTCAACACCAGACATAGAAAGTAAACAAACAAACAAAAACAAATAAATTCAACACCAGACAGATTCTACTTGGACCCGAGTCTGGTTTGAAGGCTACGCTTTCAGATATCTGAAGGCCCAAAGAAGCAGACATTACGAACCACCTCTCTGAGTGGTTTAAATTTAGACATGCTTAAATGTAAGCATAAGATAAAAAGTTGAACCGAAATCATTCCAGCTCTGATTTCATAAAGCAGCAGTACTCTATGTTTTCCTCTTGGGAAAAGCAGATCTAATAGAGATTTGTAAATTGTCTCAAGATTTCTCCTACACTATTTGTATTTCAGATACTTAGACTAATTTTTAAATTAAAAATACCATTTTTTCTTTGTTAAACTGAACAACTTTAAATCTCTCTTTCTGGGGAAAGATGTTCTATAATGTTTCTTACCTTTTATAAAGGTTTTGAGACACAAAGAGATTAAGAAGGCAATCATGCAGCTTCTGTTTACTTCCCTGCTGCTGAAAAAGCCACGGGAGTTCATCTGCACTTCTCCAAGTCACTCTGTCCTGACTATCAAAAGAGAGGAGACAATATTCAATATCTTCCTACAATGAGACTGCTTCAAAAAGGCTTCAGGCAAATGTCAAAGGAAGAAAAATATTTAACATATATCTCTGATTCTTTAAGTATAATTTAATACTAAAAAAGTTAGGTCAAAATCAGAGACTTTACCAATCTAAGAAAATAAATTCAGTGATATGCAGAACCATCAACCAAACTCTAAAAGTATTTTCCTAAAATTGAACTATTTAAAAAAACACTCAATGGACCCGTATATACACATACAGATACATGGACACAAACTATTGGAATAAAATAAAAATAATAAAATGATCCTACATTGATTTTCCTTGTTTAAACTTTTAGCATAATATTAAAAGACAAAATCATCTTTTGCTCTTTTGACATTAACAGAATAGGGAGAGGATTTAATCTTTTTTGTAATAATTAAGTTTTTGTACTTTAAGTTGTAAGCTAAGAAACAGAAATAAGGACACAAAGGTAGTGTGTTGCAGAAGTTACAGAAGAACAACAGGAACATTTACAATACCTTAGCTGCAAGGTGAAATAGTTGATTAGCTTTTGCCTGTATGAAGAAGTAACAGTGGGGCCTTCCAGGTACTCCAATCTCACTGTTTCCCAAGCCTAGGGAGAAAAAGAAGAAATACTGAGTTCTATTTCACGTAAGTCACTGTACATCTAACAAGAGATTTGCAAAAAAGAATTTATAATTATTCCTATTTTATAGCTGTATAATAGAAATGTCACTTAAATGTTTTTAAATTTAGGACATATTTATTTGATAAACTGTTACTAGAATAAAAATTTCTGTACTAATATTTATAAGCTCAAAACACAATTTAATTCAAACTTTAGTTAATACATTAAAAATCTCAGAAGTGTGGAATGAAAAGTTACTAAAAAGAATAAATTATATTCAAACAATACACAATAAAGAAAGGAAAAAGGCTGTGAAATTGCAAACATTTCACATCTACAAATATGATACAGCATACTCAAATGTAAGACTTCATTTACAATTGTATATATATATAAATCAACCATGGCATTGCAGATGATAGGAATTATTTTAGCCAAAACTTCCTAAAGATTTACTTCTATGTGCTAAACATCTTTCTAGTACCTCACAAGGACCAAGAACGACCTCAATTAATTTGCTTCACAACCCCTTTCATAAACTGCCAAAGTCCGCCTGGGGCTTAGATCTTGCCCAAGTTTAGATAGGCATTAATCCATGAAAAGGAGGCTGACTGGCTTACAGAGTCCAAACTCTTAATACATATACAGTCATGTGCACATAACAATGTTTTGGTCAACAACAAACTGCATACATGATGATGATCCTATAAAATTATAATGAAGCTGCCCTATACAGGCATACCGTTTTAAAACTTTCATACCACATTTTTACTGTAACTTTTCTGTATTTAGATACACAAATACTTACAGTTACACACAGTATTCAGTACAGTAATATGCTGTGCAGGTTTGTAGCCTGGGAGCAATAGGCCATACCATATAGCCTCCATGTGTGGTAGGCTGTACCATCTAGATTTGTGTAAGTACGCTCTACAATGCTCACACAATGATACAATCACCTAATGATGTGTTTCTCAGAACATATCCCCATTGTTAAGCAATGCATGACTGTATAATAATACCGCAATTCAATGAAACATAATTGAAAAAGACTTTTTTTCTCTTCAAGAAATAAACTACCTTTAAGAAACTTTTTTTGATCTTTTGTGTCTGACTTATTTTTTAATTTTAAAAATTGTATTGTGGTAAGACCACTTAACGTGAGATCTACCCTCTTAATAAATTTTTAAGTGTACTACAGTATTGTTAACTATAGGGACAATGTTGTATAGCAGATCTTTAGAATTTATTCCTTTGGCAGAAATAATCTTGCCACTGCACTCCAGCCTGGGTGACAGAGAAGACCCTGTTTCTTAAATAAATAAATAAAAAGATGCCTAAAATAACATTACCTGCAGATGTTGAAACCTAAGCAAGCCACATCCATAAGTCAACAAACACATTTTGTATAAACTGTGAATAAGGGAGGTCAAGAAAGTCCAGGACATCTCAGGATAGAGTTCCATCAGTTCTGATTCACTCACACCATTGTGACTAACATTGACAAGGCAGAGGATCTAGGTAGAAAAACAAATTAACAGTAATCATAAAGCACCTGTATAAGTAACTAACGGCCATTAAAAGTTCCATAATTCTTTTAAGGCTATTTCTTTTTACCAAAACTTATAATTCAAATGATTTAATAAATCAAGAAACAGATTTATTAAAACACACTGTCCAAAAGACATTAATGAAGATTAAGATAGTGTATATATAAAATCTAGCACACCAAAGATAACACTCTTACAGAAAAAAGTACAGTGAAAATTAAAACTGCATAAAATGTATTATTATAATTAATGGCAGAATTCCAATTCCAGGAAGACAGTGGAAGAAAATAGCCCTCCTATTATAAACACGTATGAATATCAGACACATTTCTAAAAGCACAGTTTTTAGATAAATAAAGGGAAATCCTCCAACTGCCAAAAATGAATAGGAAATTGAAGTCAGAGTGTAAAGGGCTGGAACTGCTGGCTATGGGGGCAGTGGAGCTAGAGGACAGGCAGCATCCCCCAGTAAGAGCTCAGGTTTTCACAGCCACAGTGGGATGGAAGGTGAGCCCTTAAGCTGTGTGAGGCAAGGAGGTAGAATTAGATTTCTTGTCAACACCAGGATCTTTGAAGGGCTTTGAAGGACCTTCACCCTCAGTGAAGGGGTGCATGAGAAAAACATTAGCCCACAGACGTGGAGAGAATACGAGGAAGCTTGTGGGCTTGGAGTGGGCTGAGAAGTCCAAACCCTGGGAACCACCAAGCTGAAAAGTTAACATAAAAATAGATCCAGGTTCGGCAGGGCGCAGTGGCTCACGCCTGTAATTCCAGCACTTTGGGAGGCCAAAGTGGGCAGATCACGAGGCCAGGAGATCGAGACCATCCTGGCTATCACGGTGAAACCCCATCTCTACTAAAAATACAAAAAATAAGCTGGGCGTGGTCGTGGGTGCCTGTAGTCCCAGCTACTCGGGAGGCCGAGGCAGGAGAATTGCTTGAACCCGGGAGGCGGAGCTTGCAGTGAGCCGAGATCGCGCCACCGCACTCTAGCCTGGGCGACAAGGCGAGACTCTGTCTCGGGAAAAAAAAAAAAAAAATGAGGTTGCTAGATATATATTTTCAAAAACCAAAATTGAATACATCAACAAAAAACTACAATGTTATTTTAATTACATAGCACTTAATTCTAAAAATATATATATGGAAAATTAGACAAGGCAATTGTGAAGGATAATAATAAAAGGAGGTTTACCCAAGTAACTACCAAAGCTTACTTTAAAGTTCTAACAACTAAGCAGTATGGTACTGGCAAATAATAGGCAAAATCAGAACAGAAGAGCCTAGAAACAGACCCACATTTATTTGTGAGCTTGATATTTGTCAGTTGGCATTGCAAATGAGCAGAAGAGATGTATTATTTAGTAAAAAGAACAATTAATTATCCATATGACAGAGGATTAAAAAATAGAATCCTTCCTCACACAATAAACAAAAAGATATCAACAAGAGTTAAGGACTTCACACACGAAGAAAAAACTATAAAACTTTTTGAAGGAAATTATGTGTGTGTGTGTGTGTGTGTGTTTACACACACACACACATATATATATGAAACAAAGCTTTGTATAATGAATGAAACATAATGAATGATACCATACAGTTAAAAGACAAGAAACAAACAGGAAAAAGACATTTATTTGCAAATTTTCTAATAAAGGATTTGTTTTCAGTATGCAGAACATTTAAGACACCTACAGATCGATAAGGAAAAGACAAATGACCCAATTAAAAAATGGGTAAAGACCTGAACCAGCAATTCAGAAAAAAAGGATAGCCAATAACATGAAAAGATGATAAATCTCAATGATAATCAGGTAAACACAAATTTCCACAAGCACACTATGGCTATCAGCATTCCTGCATATGCCTGAAACATATTTAAGCACAAATTTTAAAAGAATTGTTATTTATTTCCATTCACACACACACAAAGCAAACTAACATTCCTTTTTATAAGTTTATTACATTCTACCTGCTTCATTAGCTCTTTATCCACATCATTTGCCATGGACTCCCGGATAGAGTGCAGAACAAGTCTATATAATGAAAGAGTATCTTGACACTGGAAACACTGATGAAGGATTTTATCTAAATTGCCTGCTCTCCCAGCACTGTTGGAATCGAGAAGAGATTTAATTTCTTACAGATTGCCAACATCTGTGAAAATTTTGAGATCGATTAAAAACAACGTGAACTCTATTTTTTGTACTGCAACCAATAACAAATTCAATAAAACATGATAAAGGAAAGTGGTAGTTTTATGGGGCTGCTAGAGTCATTGGGTTTATTTTACTATATATAATTTAATTCAGTGCAATAAACATGCTGAAATCTATTATTTGTTAAGCAATTACTATGCATTATGGAACATAAAAATGAGTCAGACACGGTTCTTATTATCCAGAAGCATGCCACCTACATACAGGAAGCAGGGAAACGATGATAAGTATTGTTAGTTAGCCATGCAAATTAAATTTGTGTGGAGCCAGAATTTTGAAAACACAAGGCTAAAGAAAATCATTAAATAGGGGGGTATGTTTTAAAAGATTACACAATATTTACCAGTTTTTAAAAATAATATAAAGATGTACAAAGAGAAAAAACAAAGGGTCCATAGTCTCTTTAAAATAGGTACTTTCAAAAATAAAAACAGTAAAATACTTTCAATGAACATTATTAAATGTATGAAAAATTACTCACACTCTTGAATCATACTCATTGTATCACTGATGTTCACAGAGGCCAGATGTGTTGCTACAACTAACAGTGGAAAAGGACAGTGGAAATATCACAGGCAGGCTGGGTACAGTGGCTCACATGCTGTAATCCCAGCACTTTGGGAGGCTAAGCAGGTGGATTGCTTGAGCCCAGGAGTTCAAGACCAGCCTGGCAATCATGGCAAAACCCCGCTTATACTAAAAATACAAAAATAAGCCAGGCATGGTGGTGTGCTCTTGTAGTCCCAGCTACTCAAGAGGCTGAGGTGGGAGGATCGCTTGAGTCTGGGAGGCAGAAGTTACAGTGAGCCGAGATCAAGCCTCTGCTCTCCAGCCTGGGCAACAGAGAGTGAGACACTGTCTCAAAAACAAAAACAAAGATGAAATATCATGGGCAATGTAAAGTTTCAGAAGATTTTTTTATTTCAAATTTGGTTCTCAAGATGAGAACATGGAATAAAGAGACAAGAAGTACTAGATTCGGTGTCTGGAAATATGTGTGCTAGAATTGCCATCTATTGCAATGAATAACAAAAAATGTATTAATCTTTTTTTTTTTTACCTCAGATTGAGAAAAGACAAAGTAGAGTGATGCTATACTGAAGAAGAAATAAAAGTAGTAAAACATTCTAACGGTTGAGAATAGATAGAATAGGGTAAAGCTATACTGAGGAAATAAAAGTAGTGATACTCTAATGCTTATCTAAAGGCAGATTACTAATGGATATCTAAAATAGAACTATTTTTATAATTAAAAAGTTTATCAGGACTTGAGAACAGAGACAATTAAAAATTCATATCCATATATCTACCTCCTGATATTCAAAGATACCTGAAATAATATTGTAACCCTCAGTTGTTTCCTTCACTTTCCCAAAGCTAGGGGCCACAAATGAGGGTGAGGATGGCTTTCTTTTGCAACCTCCAATAGGGAACAGATTAGTGTGAAGAAAATTAGACAAATCTATCAAGTTCTGACAATCATGGACAGTAGGCACCTGTAAGCCATGTTCTCACAAATGTTAGTATCACTATTCAAATAAAATCTGAGTGGCTCAACAGACTGGTGTAGTGATCAGTTCTCAGTTTTGCAGGGTGAGAAAGGGTCTGCAGCAAACACAAAACATGCAGAAGATCATGTAAAATAATCACCACTCACCGCGCGATCATTTTGCCGAAAAGGGTGACATAAAGGGCATTGCAGGTTGTAGCAGAACGACAGTGTCGTTCTAGCTTCTTCTCCTGCACCAGTTTACCAAGAAAAACAAAACAGAAATACAAAAACCACCCTGGAATTAAGCGGTCTTTACTACCCAGCCATCAACAAGTACCCCGACAGAAATAACACTATTGCTGCCATCCGTGACATCACAACATGCAGTGGTGGCTCCTCGGCTGTGGGCAGCCTTCCAACTGCAGACCACAGATATGGCCAGTATGAAAATGCTCTTTTGCTTTTAAAATACCTGCTTAATATTATATACTAAAGTCAACCTTAAGACCAAAATCTTTTTATTGCTTCTTTTCTACCTGTCATTAGTTTAAGAGGCAATACATTTACCAAAGTAATTACTAAACTCCAGTTTTCCTTATAACAGATCCCCTATATTGAATTTTAAGTCTCACATAAGATGTTTCATAGGAAAGATGAGAGAGTAAAAGATTGCATCAAAATGAAAAATACACACCTGCTCTTTACTCAATTTAATGTCTACAGAGTGGCATTCTGCAATTATAATAGATTTTGCATCTTTTGGACTTAAGGGATCAAGATGAAGTGTAGGCCACAACCTTTTATGTAAAGAAAAGAAAAATGAAATTTTAATAATACAACAAGAACTGTAATTACCCATAACACAATTTAAAATCCACCACAGGAATTAACACTTTATACTGCTTTTGTAAAATAAGCAAAACTAATGTCTATTAATCATATTAAGTAATTAATATATCTTATTCTAATATGTGTATCATTACTTTGAGCAATGAATCACAACAAACAGTGTTATAAAATAAACAGTATATACATTAGATAGTTACATGGTAAAACATTTCTAGTTCTATGTTCCATACTATCAGTAAAACTAAGCATAGGTATGAGTATCTATGAGGAGTGGCATCAGACACAATTATTGTCCACAAGCACTTGTAATGCAACTGAAATTTAACTATTACAATATACATTCTTGATATGGTACTGAAAATTGCATTTGTGGGGGAGTGAAAAAACTTACTCTTTTTATGTATAAAGTACACATAGACACATATATCTATATACACAAGCTGATATACAATATGTGTGTGGTATTAAAATTTCTTGGGGGAGGCAATTACAAATAAAATGTCTAAAATGGCTCCTTATAGGAGCAAAAACAGGTTGAGAAACACTGCTCCATGGGATCCAATTGCTCTACTTTTTTTTTTTTTTGAGGCAGAGTCTCGTACTGTTGCCTAGGCTGGTGTGCAGTAGTGCCATCTCGGCTCACTGCAACCTCTGCCTCCCAGGTTCAAGTGATTCTCCTGTCTCAGCCTCCCAAGTAGCTAGGATTACAGGCGCCCACCACCACGCCTGGCTAATTTTTTATATTTCTAGTAGAGGCGGGGTTTCACTGTTGGCCAGGCTGGTCTTGAACTCCTGACCTCCCGATCCACCCGCCTCGGCCTCCCAAAGTGTTGGGATTACAGGCATGAGCCACTGCGCCCAGCCATTTGTTTGTTTTTTGAGATGGGAGTTTCACTCTTGTCGTCCAGGCTGCAGTGCAGTGGTGCAATCTCAGCTCACTACAACCTCCACCTCCTGGGTTCAAGCGATTCTTCTGCCTTAGCCTCCCGAGTAGATGGGATTACAAGCACCCGCCACCATGCCTGGCTAATTTTTGTATTTTTGGTAGAGATGGGTTTCACCATGTTGGCCAGGTTGGTCTTGAACTCCTGACCTCAGGTGATCCACCCGCCCTGGCCTCCCGAAGTGCTGGGATTACAGATGTGAGCTACCATGCCCGGCCACTCTACTACTTTTTAAAGAACCATTAAAGTGAGCTTGCATTTCAAAATAACAGGTGTCTATTATTCCCAGCCCGGCCCTTTCTCTATTTTCCTCATCTATAAATTTAACTGCCTACTAGACATCGTTACGTGGAGCTACTCAAACTAACCATGATTAAAAACTAAACTCATCACCTTTTCCCCACAACCTGCCTGTCCTTTGTGTTTCCTATTTCAGTTCATGAAGCTACATTAATTAATTTCTCAAGTCAGAAACTCCAGAATCATCCTGGCTCTTTCTTTTCCCTTGCATCCCAGATCTATCTAACCTCCCCCCAAATCCCTTTTTTTTTGGAGACAGGGTCTCCCTCTGTCACCCAGGCTGAAGTGCAGTGGCATGATCTCTGCTCACTGCAACCTCTGCCTCCCAGGTTCAAGCGATTCTCCTGCCTCAGCCTTCCAAGTAGCTGGGATTACAGGCATGCGCCACCATGCCCAGCTAATTTTTGTATTTTTTGTAGAGACAGGGTTTCACCATGTTGGCCAGGCTGGTCTCAAACTGCTGGCCTCAAGTGATCCACCCGCCTTGGCATCCCAAAGTGCTGGGATTACAGGTTCACACCATCTATACAATTCTATAGATTGTATTTTTTTTTCATAAATTCACCCACTTCTCCCCATCCTCACTGCAAGTTACATAAAAAATGTGAAAACCATAAATGCATATTAAAAATCTTTCCTTGTTTGTACTTAAAACATTTCATGTACTCTGAAAGAACTAAAGTTGGCATCGTACCTCCATGCTGGAGGGCATGTTTCTACATTCACAGAAACAATTACTCTTACATTCACTGGCAGTGGATCTATCAGCCATTTCATGTGTTTTTCAACTTGCTTAAAAATATAAAAACAAAATTCAATCTATTAATCAAAATATTTCAAAACAATCCAATAATAGCTCCCCAAATAAAATGAAATTCTCATTAAGTTTATCTTATTAAGGATAAAAATCTTATTTTGGGGTGATTTATTTTAGAATTTTAAAAGAACAAGTAGCAAAACATTAT
Source organism: Homo sapiens (assembly GCF_000001405.40). Taxonomy (NCBI): domain Eukaryota; kingdom Metazoa; phylum Chordata; class Mammalia; order Primates; family Hominidae; genus Homo; species Homo sapiens. Next base: position 132,699,624 of record NC_000003.12, read on the forward strand.
TATCACCAATCTGAACTCTGGACACGTCAGGAAATGTCAAGGCCCTAAAAATATGTCAGAACGAATAGTCTTTGTTAATTGTGTAAATTCAGTTGGTCTTTCTTAATAAGATATTAGTGTCTGTGGGCATACGATATATTTTTTTAATCCATGTTACCTCCCTAGAAATAAAGCAGAAATATAAAAAATAACATCATATTTTCTTCTCACAAACATATAAATGCCTGCTCTAGCTATTACTGAATTTACATCTCTTTCTGAGCATATCAATAGGTAACAAATGGAAAACGGTACCTGAACTTGATCTATAGAATCAATAACGATGATGATGCTGCCTTGATGACGAGCAGAGAGTTTTTCCAGCCAACGTGGAAATTCTTCCAGAAGCTTAGCAGGATCCAGTGTCAGAGCAGAGACTGACCAAGAGTGCTGCATCAACTACAAGATAAGAACACACACAAACTGAAGTAGTTACACGTAGTTACTGAAGTAGTTACAGAGCTGGGGGAAATATTTCTATTCTTACTTTTTTATAAACCAAAATCAAGTCACCAAGAGGACCCGATTGTATCGAATATTATTTTTAACCTTATATAAAACCAAAACAGGTGGATAATACTGAAAATTGGTTTACCAGTAGGTACTTATTAGTCCCAACAATTTCTGAATCTAAATAAAATTCTGTAATTCCAAAAGATGGGATACTATACCTTTAGAGTTAGTCGTTTAATAATCAAGGAGGACTCTGAGCTGGTTGACATGGGCCTTCCCACAAAATGGGAAAGAATCAGTGTGTTGGGGGAATTCTTCTGTTGTAATTGAATCCTGAAAGAAAAAGACAGAACTTTTATAAAACCGATAAAGTTCCTTGACTGTCAATAAAAAAAGAATTCACAATGCAGTAAACATCAAATGTTGCCTAACTGAGCAATCAGGTGGTCAGTTACTTTTAAATAAATATGGAGATTTCTGTTTTTACTCCACTTTTAGATCCTTCTAAATAATCTTTTAAAAAATTGTAGATTCATTTTAATTACAAATAGATGTTAATTAACAGAAACCAAAGTACTTTACATATGAGGGTAAGGTATTAGTAAAACAAGCATTAACTTTTAATTAAAAATTCCTACTAGAGGAAAATTTGTTAGATACAAAAATATTATTTTCCAAACATAACTTTAAATAAAAGGGTAATAAAAAGGAGACAACTACATATGCTAACCCTTCAATATAAATAATTATGAAAGAAAGAAAATATTTTTACTGCTTGTTTTTAAATAACATAATGAAATAATAAAGTTTATTAGCTTATATGAACCTTAGTCCATAATTTGAAGAACTAGATTGCATTCATGGTGAAGATTATCCTTAATTTTGATGTTCTGTAGAATGTATTTCACTCTAACTAGTATGCTTTTGTCGTTTCAAATATTTAAAGTATCAATGAAACTTTTAAATAAAGGCAATAATTACAAATAAAGGCACATTACAATCCACTTAATAACATGTGTTATATGACATATCACATATGATCACTTCCTTACAAAGCACTCCCATAGCTGTTACTTATGTGATTTATATACATAATCATAAATGTTCATGCTTCCTATTCCTTTCTCATTCTGTGTCTTCTCTCTAACATCCAAATTCTATGCATTTCAGGGCATGAACCTATTGTTTTATTCCTTTTTACTTTGTTAATGTTTAGTGTAGGCCGCGCAGGAAGGCAGGCATGCAATACATTTTGTTGAATAGATTCAGTAATTCAAACAATGACAACAATAATTTAATTGCACTGCATCATACCACTTTGATAAAAGAAGAGACTTCCCAGAACCTGGTCCTCCAGACACGAGAAGAGGTGGAATCGGGGCTGGTGCTGCCACTAGATCATTAAGGCGTTGGTAATACTAGAAAAAAAAATGAATTTACATTGTAAGGAAGCACATGCCTCTGAGACTACTGAAGAGTCAACTTCTGATTATTCTTTGAAAATACTGGAGAAAAGCTGTGTGAGAAAATGAAATCTATTTTTAGTGACAGCACCCTCATAATTGCCTACTTTTATGGCTGGCAAAAACATGACTGAACTAGTAAACTAAGAATGGGCCTCAAATGGCTGGGCGCGGTGGCTCACGCCTGTAATCCCAGCACTTTGGGAGGCTGAGGCGGGTGGATCATGAGGTCAGGAGATCGAGAACATCCTGGCTAACACGGTGAAATCCTGTCTCTACTAAAAATACAAAAACAAAATTAGCCGAGCGTGGTGGCGGGCGCCTGTAGTCCCAGCTACTCAGGAGGCTGAGGCAAGAGAATGGCGTGAACCCGGGAGGTGGAGCTTGCAGTGAGCCGAGACAGTGCCACCGCACTCCAGCCTGGGCGACAGAGCAAGACTCCGTCTCAAAACAAACAAACAAACAAACAAACAAAAAATGGGCCCCAATTTCTTCTACATGTAGTATTGCTGTAAATTAATGGGTAAAGGACAACATTTCAGGTCCCTGTGGGGTTTTGCAACACTCAAATGTTTGCAGAATGTTTCAGGGAGCTCACTGTAGCCCCCAAATCACAGAAAATACTGCAGAAGACCTTGAAGGTACTAGCAGACCACCTAGATCTCCTGGTCAGAGGAATAAACACCTGTCCTGGGAATCACCTCAGTTTCTGGGGGTGAGAAAAGGTCCAAATAACAGCAGGTTTTGTCTGGGGACTTGGAGTCTCCCAATCTGCTCAAGACAATCAGGTTAGCCTAGGCTGCCTGAGATCTTTTTGAAACTAAGTGAGTTCAGTGTAAAGTCCAAGAATTCCTATTTCCCAAGTTTTCCCCAGAAACTCAAAACTGGTTCAAAGCTAAAAAGGACACACTCAAAAACCAAAATATCTTAGTACTTATTAAGGAGTTTCAAAAATTATCTTGAGACTTGACTTTTTCTTCAGTGTACCAGTGGTCTAAATGATAGCTGATGAGGAATTTAAAAAAGTGTATAGTAAGTAGTTTGCAGCCAGCTTTAGGCTTGCTTTAGAATAACACAATTCTCCAGCAACTATAATGAATTACTTGGTATAGTTTTTCAATCAATTTTTCTACTTGTTATATTTAATTAACAAGCAGAAAAATTATATCTCTAAAGAATATATTCCCCAGGAACTCAAATAATTCAAATAGAAATGATACTTCTGAAGGAGAAAAGAAAGTCTTGATTTACTACCTCATAAGTCCTAACAACTTAGTTCATGGTCCCACAGAAAGCCCATTTATAGGATCCATGCTTCCCAGGTTAAGACCCATGGCTATAAAAGAAAAACCATAGGATCTGGAGCCAGAAAAGAACGAGGTTCAACTCCCAGATCTGCAATCTACTCACTGTGTACTCTTAGGCAAACCCTAATCTGAACCTCAGTTTCTTTATTTATAAAATAACAATAGCAATACTTCTCATAAAATAACGACTAACATTTATCATGGGCCAGGTACTGTGCTAAGCACTTTATGTGCATTATCTGATTTAATCCTTGCAACAAGTACCTATGAGGTAGGTACTATTAGTTATTCTCATTTTACAGCCAAGAAAGTCAAAGTTTAGAGTGGCCAAGTAACTTGAAGAAATCTAGTTAGTAAATGATGGAACCAGGACATTAACGGACAGTCTAAATTCAAAAAGTTCTGTAAAAATACAACTGTTAATATTAGCTACTATAGTATTCTTTAAAATATTAGTTCTTACATTAATTTTTAACTATTATATTTTTTTAACTTGCACATAGATTTCATTGTATATTTCAAGTTCTGATAATTTGTTTAGATATTTAAGGATGTTGATAAGACTGATAAAGAAGGACTTATCTGCCTATTTCATGAACTACTATGCTTTGTTTTCTGAATGTAATATTTTGATTCAAGAATTGGAAGAACAGAGAGACTTACTATTCTTTTTTTTCTTTTCTTTCTTTCTTTCTTTTTTTTTTTTTTTTTAAAGACAGGGTCTTGCTCTGTTACCCAGGCTGGAGGGCAGGGGTGTGGTCATGGCTCACTGCAGCCCTGACCTCCTGTGCTCAATTGATCCTCCCACCTCAGCCTCCCAAGTAGCTGGGATTACAGGTGCATACCACCATGCCTGGTAAACTTTTGTATTTTTTGTAAAAACAAGGTTTTGCCATGTTGCTCAGGCTAGTTTCAAACTCCTGGGCTTAAAGCAATCTGCTTGTCTCAGCCTCCCAAAGTGTTGAGATTACATGCGTGAGCCACTGCACCTGGCCTCAGCCTTACTATCCTTATCAAGTTTCCTAGCTATCCTAATCCTGGTCTGAGTGAGTTGCAGATGGTAGCATAATAAACATGTGGTTGATAAATTCTAGTCCATAACTAAAAATGTTCGGTCTTTATAAGCACATTTGAATCTCACATATCTTTCTTATGACACAAACCTAAGCACATCTCAACATGGATAATCAAGCCATGAGATTAGACAACTAATATAATCATAAACCTTAACTATATTTAGATGAAAATACAATCATAATACAGCCTTTAAGTGGTGACAGATCTTTGTTGCAATAATACTCCAAGCACTTACTTTCTCAAATCCCAACTCATGGGCTGAATTAGAAGCCTGCTGAAAAGTTTCCATTTGCTCTTGTTCATCATGTATGTCCCACAGAACATCACCAAAATCATCTTCTTCTGGAATGGAATCCTCACTGCCCAAATCCTTAGTCTCCAAGTCTGTGTTCTCAAAACCCAGTATGTCCTAAACACAAAGAACAACCACACAAAAATGAATGAAGAAAATAAAGATCTTACAGCGGGGTCACCCAGGCCCAAAGTGGGCTTCACCTACTTTTGGGAGGGCAAGTTCAAACATACAGCCTTTGTATAATACCTACAAGAATAAACTGATAACTACAAAAAAATCACTAATTTAAAAACAAAGAAATAAAAATATTAAAATAATAGAAATGAATACCTCTTTTTATAAAAATAAAATTAAAGGAATATTTGAATCCCATGGAATTTGTTTTCTGAAAAATGTTACACAACATTTTGGTTGTATCTGGCTGGTGAATAGTTATAAAGTACTAATGGCTAGGAAATATGCTATAAGAATTGAATTACTAAGATGTGATTTCTTGATCTCAAGTATCTCTGTGGTCATATTCAGTTTTTATATTAGGTTACTGAAAATATGTTATCCTTCAAGCACTAATGATGGTAAGTACATTCACTTTCACTTGCTGCCATTCATTCTGCTCAATTAATTTATCTTGGTCCTAAAATTTGCAAGATTGTGAAGCTCAAATTTGATAAAGACAATCTTTATACTAGAGAGCACCATACAAAATGTGTTGCCAGAGGTCATATCATTTTGGGGCTCACTCTTTTTCTCTAATAATAAATCTTCAAGCTTCCTACTTCTCAAATAGGGTTTTTGGTTGGCTGGGGGAGGTGTCAGAAGGTGTGGGCAACCACAGGCTAAACATGGTACATCTTCCCACTGCGCCCATTCTGTTTGAGGGAGAGGGGAATAATAAATAATCACTATTACTATTTTTTTCTAATATATAATTTAAAATTTTTTTATATTAAACACAAACATAGACATAATATCAGGCAGAATATATAACTCACATAAATTTTCAAGATAGCACATGAAACTTCATAGAGACTTCCAGCTCAAGGCCCCTCCCTGGTCCATGTTCTCACCCCCCTGGAGGCATGCTTTCATCCCCCTCTTCTGTTAGGGATAACATGGGGGGAAAACCTGAGAGAGACTTTCCTAATATATAAAAATTCAAAATTCACAGAGGAGCCTCCCTATTGAATAAAATGAACACTTTCTCTTAAATAGTTTTTGGCTAGCACTTTTGTAATATGTTTTACACTTAGGTATTGAAGCATCAAATAGTCCTCTGAGATAGATGAGAGATAAAGATATTAATACATGGTCCTAGTAATACTAAGAACATACCACAGGATGGACTCCCAACAGAAACAACAGCGCCTTCCTCAGGTACTGTGTTCAAAAAGACAAGCAAGTGGTTTTCTCTGGAAAAATCAATTTCATAGAAAGTGATCTTAAAATATTTTAGATGAAAACTTACAGAGAATGCATATTTACCTGTTTAATAATCTTTTCTACACAAATATAAGTTTTATATACTCCTTCTGCAGGATCTCCTGAGTGATCAATGATCTAGATAAAAATCATTTAAGAACAATGAGAAAAACCATAATATCAGAAGGAAGTGGTGGTAAATACTTTTATACTGCTTATGTGACAGGAACTATTCTAAATATTTAACACATATTAGCTAATTTATCTTCACAACAACCTTAGGAGGGAGATACTATTATTATCCCCATTTTATAGAAGAGTAAACTGAGGCAAAGTAAGTAACTTGTCCAAGGTCACACAAGGGATTTAGTGTGAAAAATGGAGCAATAAAACAAGAAGTAGGCCAGGCGCGGTGGCTCATGCCTGTAATCCCAGCACTTTGGGAGGTCGAGGTGGGCGGTTCACGAAGTCAGGAGATCAAGACCATCCTGGCTAACATGGTGAAACCCCATCTCTACTAAAAATACAAAAAATTAGCCGGGCGTGGTGGCCGGTGCCTGTAGTGCCAGCTACTCAGGAGGTTGAGGCAAGAGAATGGCGTGAACCCGGGAGGCGGAGCTTGGAGTGAGCTGAGATCGCTCTACTGCACTCCAGCCTGGAAGACAGAGTAAGACTCTGTCTCAAAAAAAAAAACAAAAAACAAAAAAAAAACCAAGAAGTATACATTTTTTTTTTGCTCTGTCTCCAAATTTTCTCTTATGTATTTCCATACCACTCAACATATTTACCCTTCAAAATGCATCAAAATCCAATTTTATGTCAATAAAGCTATAATTCTATAAAAGACAAAAGCAAAATAGTATACTATGTAGTCTCACTGAGCTGGCTGAAAGAAGAATGCCCAATCTGTAAGAACATGTCTACTACTACTACTAATATTTGATACAATTAGAATAAGGCAATGATTTTACAATACATACCAAGTGAACAAGCATGGAGATTTACCCTACATTTACATTTATAATCATGGCAGAGAGATCTTATTTCACTCCTATTTTATAAAATAAACTCATCCTTCCAGCATACTAAATTTTTTAAAGTAAAGGTTATAGAATAAATAGAATAAAAAAGATAAATTAATATCTTTTTTGTGGGACGTAGTGGACTAGGCTGATACTACAATAATTAAAACAAAGAATGAAATGGCTCTGGAAATTATAATAAAAATGCACTTCCTTTTTGTCTTAGTCTCTTTAGTTTTATGTGTCATGCTGCTCTCAAGCTATCTTTTCAATACTAAATGATGGAAAGAAAAATGCTTGTATTCATATTTGATTTTATTTCTTGGCTGGGCACAGGGAAGTGAAAACTCTGTAAAAATCCTAGAGTTGTTTTCAATTGTATTATTCACATTAACTACAGACATTTACCAAGTTGCCTCCGTGTACAGTAATAAAAAGCCTGTAATATGTATTCTAAAAATTATCCCAACATGCATCTAGGAATGATCAAATTTCTCTCATCCCATCATCAGCTTTTTGCTTTCCCCAATGCTCTTAGGAAAAGTCACTATAAAAAGTCTCCTCCTGCAGCGTGGACAACATAATAAGTCCCCATCTCTATAAAAATTTTAACAAAGTAGCCAGGCATGGTGGCCTGTGCCTGTAGTCCCAGCTACTCAAGACACTGAGGTGGGAGGACTGCTCGATCTCTGAGTCCAGGAGTTTGAGGCTTCAGTGAGATATGAACAAGCTACCACACTCCAGCCTGGGTGACAGAGTGAGACTCTGTCTCTTAAAAAAAAAAGTCTCCTCCTGACACTAATCCTTGGTCAGTAGACAGAAGAACTCTGTGCTTGGGAGAAAAGCACAAAATACCATCTGATCATACAGATCATACTCTTGCTAGCCACACACTGCGATTTATTTCTCTCTCTTTTCTCACAACCCACAACCAATCTGTTAAGAAATCCTATTGGCTCTACTGTCAAAATTTACTCAGAATCCTACCACTTCTCATCATTTCCTCTACCACCACCCTGCTTGGAGTCACCAGCATCTCTCACCTGTATGATGGCAATGGCTCTCAGACTCTGCACACTACCCCTGAATGACCACCTATTCTCAACATGGCAGCCAGAAAGATCACTGTCAGATGATCACGCCAGCCCTCATTCTGTTGCTTATAGTCCTGCAGTGGCTCCCAATCTCACTCCAAGTGAAAAGCTAATATCCTCAAAATGGCCTCCGAGGTTCTTCACAATCAATGAGGCCCCCTCTCCTCCTACTCCCCTCACTTATCTGTTCCAGCCACACTGGTTTCTCTCCCCTCCCCAGATATGCCAGGCTTATGCCCACCTCATGGCCTTTGCTCCAGTTTTTCCCTCAGCTAAGTGTGTTTTTCAAAAATGCCTATGAATTTTACCTTGGCTTTGCTGGTCTTGTTTAGATTAGAAACTTGATCAATCAATTGCTGGACAGAGTCAGAACTGACTTTTCCATCTTCCAAACGATGAAAGATTAATCGAGGTTTTCCTTCAGGGTTTTTCAGAAAAGCTTCTTCACAGTCTTCCAATAAAAGGCTAGATTGGAAATCAGCATTTTGTGTGCTATACTGCATTGTGGCAGCAAGCAGTTAGTTAATCAACCTAAGTGCCAATAATGGAGTTTTACTACAGTGACAAGTGGCCAGAAAAGGTCCAACTGCACAACAAGTGAAGCTTTCCAAAAATGGATGTGTTATGGCTCTCTTCCAGTTTGGTCTTAAAATATAATACATTCATTAGCCAACAGTGAGCATAAATATAATAAATTATGCATTAAATTGTAAAGCACATAAAACTTTATTTTTTAAACCTAAAAAAGATCTCAAAAATACTCTTAAACTTGGCTCAAAATAATGGACTAGACTCATGAGACTTTGAAAATAGATGGCAAACAAAATTCCATTTAAAAATGTATAATTTCCATGTTAACACAAGTAGGCAGGAGGTCATGCGTGGGTAGGTACACAGGCACCATCCAGGGCAACAGCCAGGCTCCTGCACTGCTTTTCCAGGAGTTCTTTTTAATGCCTTTAATTTGACCCGCCTCCCTTCATGGCTGAATCACAGGAGAAATCTCTTACAATGAAACATAGGAGCTAAAATATGGCATGTCCAGGAGAGGCCTTTATTCCAGATAAAGGTTTCAAAATGAGGAATTCTTTGCTCTTGATTGGCCCTCCTTCATTATGTCAGCACCCTTCTTGGGCAGACCAGGCTCACTAAGAATTCTTGAACCTATGTAGAAGGAGAGGTGCTTCTCTGTTTGGATGGCAGCCCCAAAGTTTTGAGAGTTTTCTCTTTCCCAGTTCTTTCAGACTTTTCTCATCTAATAAATGACCCTAATCCTTATACCCAATATATACTACAGGAAAGATCTGGAGACAGATTGGAAGAGGTTGGGTGACTGAGGTGAAGGTAAAAAAAATCCCAAAAAACAACTTTGTTATAGGGAACCAAAATTATATTTTTAATGAAAATTCTAGAAAAAAAAGTCCTAGAACTAATAATCTGCTGAGGTCTTCTCTCTCCCTCCCTTCTTTCTTTCTCTCCCTTTTTTTTTTTTTTTTTTTTTTTTTTTTGAGACAGGGTCTCACTCTGTCACCCAGCCTGGTGTGCAGTGGTGCAATCACAGCTCACCGCAGCTTTAACCTCCTGGGCTCAAGCGATCCTCCCACCTCAGCCTACCGAGTAGCTAGGCCCACAGGCACACGCCACCACACCCAGCTAATTTTTGTATTTTTTGTAGAGATGGGGTTTCACCATGTTGCCCAGGCAAGTCTTGAATTCCTGGGCTCAAGTGATCCTCTCACCTTGGCCTCCCAAAGTGCTGGGATTATAGGCATGAGCCACTGAGTGCAGCCCACATCTACTGGGGTTTTCTACACAACAAAGGACACTGCGACCAATTCCCCTTTCTAGAAAGCATTAAATGAAAGTTGTCTAGGGAAACAAATGTTTTTGTGGGGGGTGTGTGTGTGTGTATGTGTAGAAGGGCGATATTGTATGATTCAGAATCTGCAAATTAGACTACTAGCCCAAAATATTAAAAATTAAGAAACATTCTGTTGTATATTTCTGCGCCAATCCATTCTACCCAAACCACAGAAGTTTTCTATATTAAAATCACTCTGGCCATGTTCTATCGAATTTTGGAATTTCAATGATTCATCTGTCAGTGCTTTGTGGGAAAAGTCTGTGGCCCATTAGAAGACCAAACAATGGGCTTGCTGTTCAGGCACACGTCCATATTTCAAGGCATTCCCTACAAAACTGACCCATGGGGCTCAGATAAAATGGTATGATCTCTGGTATTTTATTCAAATAATCTGGTGGAACGGAAGCAGATGCTACAGATGAAACAACGAGTCATGAGGTGATAATTGCTGAAGTTAGATAGTATAACAGGCCAGCTAATATGTTGATAAGTTGCACTTTAGGATCCCTTCAGAAAGTAGCCTGAGCAGACAAAAATGTAGGGGAGGAGCTGCAAGAGAAGATGTAGCTTTGTGGGGCTGGAGGAGTTAAAACAGTAAAGCTGAGGCATAATGAAGAAAGTTCAAGTATAGAACAAACAAGGGCTTCCACTTGCCTAAATTCTATAACGAAACTCTATAGGTGATCTGGTAAAAAAAAAAAAAAAGCTGAATGAAACCAATAATAGGGCCTAAGAAGTCCTGAAAGGTGACTGAATTACTATTTAGGCACGGAAGCCTCCCCATCCCTTGAGAAAGACTGATGATGCCCTGAGGAAAACCAGTCACAGTCGCCCCTCTGTGCTGCTGTGCAAAGGGAGAGGCACCTCTCCTTCTACGTAGGTTCAAGCTTTCTTAGTGAGTCTGGTCTGCCCAACAAGGGTGCTGATGTAATGAAAGAGGGCCAATCATGAGCAAAGAATTCCTCATTTTTAAACCTTTATCTGGAATATTCCTACTCAGCCAGCCTCTCCCGGACTCACCCTATTTCAGTTCCCATTCTTCGTTGTAGGAGATTTCTCCCGGGATTTTTCTCCTTCCATGAAGTGAGGCTGGTCAAATTAAAGGCATTAAAGAAGAACCCCTGGAAAAGCAGTGCAGGAGCCTGGCCGTTTCCCTCTAATGCACCTTCTCCAGTCAGTAACACCGAGAGGCACAGTGCCTGTGCACCTCACTAAGCATGACTTCCTGCCTACCTTCCCAGCCTACAACTAAGTATGTTGTTAGCATAGCTTGCTCCAAATCCAATCATTTCATACATCAAAACCATACATTTTGAGCTTCATAATTTCTTATAAGAGGCCTGAATAGTGTGAGAAGCCAGTGAACACTATCTTCAAATAACTCTGTGGATACCATCTGCACACAGGGAATAATTATTGACAGGAAAGTGTTTCCCCATGGAGCTTCCAAGCTGCTCAGGAGAGGCTTTTCTAGATTCATCTTTTGGGAAGGATGGGGTAGTCATCAGGGTAGGCGAAGGAAAAATCTGAAACAAAGGCTCCAACAGCCCTTGTTTGTGGTGTGGAGCCCATCCCCACTGCCATACCTCTTGACAGGCATGAAAGAAACAAATAATAAAATAATAAGCAACTGGAATAAGAAAAGTTTAAGTAAAATAAAGCCAAAGTAGAGACTAAAATTATTAAATTTAAGAAATTAAAATCCTCATTTCTTTAATAAGAATAAAATTTTTAAAAATGTACAATATAAAATTTTACTAAAAGGGGATAAACTGAAATCTAAGCAAAAGTAATAAAATATGAAATAAATGGGGAGGAAAACATTAAGAAGAGTTTAAAATTGGAAAAGAAAAATAAATGTTAAAGTGTAAGAATAATGTATACAATGTTTTATTAAAAAGTAAGGTTTTTGTTTGTTTGTTTTTGAGACAGGGTCATACTCTGTCACCCAGAAAGTTTCTTTAATGTAAAGAAAAAACAAAATGGTTTTATGGATCAAAGATAAGAATTAGAAAAAATAATGTAACAACAAATAACATATTACCAAGTAAGATAAAAAAACTACTCAATCATTAAGTAATAAGATAAGATATATCCTTAATAAATATAAAAACAGGGAAAGAAAAGGGAAGGGGTGGATAGCAATGAAACCCTACTGAAGGCAATCAAGTTGAAGAACTCCTTAAACATATTCTGGATGAAGGCTCATTGACCAGGTAGTTCCCTGTTCACCCGGCCACTAGGCAAAGTCTTAAGGGTCTACAATGGGTTATGCTACAGGGAAACTGGTGAAACTTAAGGCCTTACATATATCTATACACAGTTAAAGTCAGAGTTGGTCCACAATTAAAAAAGCAAAATGCTTTGGAAAGGTTAAATTTAGACAGTAAATCTAGAAAGAAAAATTAGCCTCTTATTAAACTTATTTTGTCCTTTATCTCTATATCTAACTGGTGAAAAAAAATCTTTACTTGCAGACAAGATTCATTAGCATGATTATATTCACATTATAAGAACATTGTTCACTTTACTGGGTCTATTTAAATAGTAAGCTCCTCAAAAAATGTAAATTATGATTCAACACCTACACAAGTGATCAAGTACATGAACTTTATATGTAAAATACATAGTTCAAATACCTCTCAGTTTGTATCCAAAGAAAGAAAAGAATGAAGGTTAATGTTGATTATTGAAATTAGGGGTTATCAACTTTTTCTGTAAAAGGCCAGATAGTAAACAACTCAGGTTTTGTAGGACACATGGTTTCTGTTGTAAAGATTCAACTTTGCTATTATAGTATGAAGGCAGCTGTAGAAAATACACGAATGGGCCAGGTGTGTTGGCCTACGCCTGTAATCCCAGCACTTTGGGAGGCCAAGGCAGGGGGATCACAAGGTTAGGAGATTGAGACCATCCTGGCTAGCACAGTGAAACCCCATCTCTACCAAAAATACAAAAAATTAGCCAGGCGTGGTGGTGGGCGCCTATAGTCCCAGCTACTCAGGAGGCTGAGGCAGGAGAATGGTGTGAACCTGGGAGGTGGAGCTTGCAGTGAGCCGAGATTGCGCCACTGCACTCCAGCCTGGACGACAGAGCAAGACTCTGTCTCAAAAAAAAAAGAAAAAAAAATTTATATATATATGAATGAATGAATGTGGCTGTGTTCCAATAAAACTTTATTTACAAAAGCAAACTCCTGGCTAGATTTGGCCCTTGGGCTATATTTGCCAAACTCTGATTAAAATAAGCTAAAAATTAAGGTGTTGATCATATGACCTATGAAACAAGTCTAACAGCTTAAAACTTTTAATTATTTTATTTAAGTGTGAAACAGTTGTAGAATTTATTGAATTTCATGGATTTTTTTATTATAAGGATGCAATAAAATTTATCTTTGAAGCTTATTTGGCAAACTCAATTCTATTTACAGTTTACTGCTTATAATAAATTACATTTTTTTTCAGCTTACCTTGGTAATGTTAAGTGAATAAATAAAATAACTAAAGAACTTTTCTCAATTTCCCATTTTCTTACAGTGAGGTATTGATTTTCAACATCTATTGGAAAATAAACAGCATGGAAAAAATATCCCATTGTCTCGCACATTCTCTTAAGTTTAGGTGAATAGTCCTAAAAACAAATGAAAACATACAAAAGTTTAATGTATTTAACTAAAGATCAAGTGAGATTCATACTACTTAAAATAAAAAGCACGCTTTAAAACAGGTTATACTGGATATCTTTTCATATAAAATTTTAAAAATAATCACATTTTAAAGAAAATCTTAAAAAGGCAAGTTTCTCTCAAATACAAATAATAATAGCTTAGCAACTTGGCCTTTTTCTAGCTCAGAAAATGACTTATTTCATAGTAAAGCTAGAACAACAGGAGACAGTATTAGGCTATTTTGCTTTGGTATTTGTTTCTTTTTGTTATTATTACTATGAACAATCTGTTTTATTGTCATAAAGAGTGCAAAATATAGATCCATAAATCTGTATAGTAAAAAACATCCACGATGATATATCAGAACGCTAAAGCAGAGCGATATAAGTTAAAAACACATAAATCTATAATTAAGTTAGTAAGTAATGATGACTATTATTATGAAAGAAATCAGTAATGCCCTCAAAATGTCGTTGGGAATAACATTTTCAATTACTGGATGGAAGCTTTGGGCTTTAAAATATTTTATCTTTTTACTAAAATTGAATAATATCACAAAGGAAAGCTAAATGAATTTGGTAATCAACAACAGGGAAGATGTTAATATAGCAGGTATAGCATGTGACACACAGATTCTATAAAATTCCCTTGGAACACTGGTAGGCAAGCTTTTTATATAAAGGGTTAGATAGCAAATATGTCTACAAAAATAATAATAGCTTTACAACTTGGCTGCTTTAGCAGGGATCTTTGTGGCTTATTTGGTTTCTATCACAATTTACTCTGCCATTGAATTGGTGTTGTAGTGCTGCCATGGATGATACGTAAACGAATGAGTGCAGCAATGTTCTAATAAAACTTGATAGACACTAAGATTTGTATTTCATATAATTTCCACATGTCATAAAATATTATTCTCCTTTTGATTTTTTTCTACCACTTAAAATGTGAAAACCAATCTTATCTCTGGGCCATTTAAAACAGGCAGCAGGCCAGATTTCACCAACTGGCTATAGTGACCCTTGCCTTAGAATAACTCCAACGGCTGCCTTGGAAAATTTAAACCACAGTAAGGAGAAAATTTTACTACCTGAGACAGACTCAAGGATAGAGCTGGAAGAGAGAGTAACTAAAGTAGACACAATCAACAAGAGTCTTAAACATTGTGGAGAATATGCAATGAAAAATTCACTAAACAAGCCTAGGCAACACAATGAGTCACTTTCTCTGCAAAAAAAAAAAATAAATAAATTAAATTAGCCGTATGTGGTGGTGTGTACCTGTAGTCCTAGCTGTTCTGGAGGACTGAGTGGGAAGATTGCTTGAGCTCACGAGTTTTAGGCTACAGTGAGCTATGACTGTGCCACTGCCCTCCAGCCCAGGCAACAGAGCAAGACACTGTCTCAAAACAAGCAAACAAACACACAAACAAAAAAAAGTCCAGAAAGTTCCAACACCTTAGTTTGACATTTAAAACTAACTAAAACGAGTTAAAACCTTCTTTTTCTGTCTTAGCTCCTGTCCTAGGAAAGTTAATTCCAGAAAGTAAAAATAAATAAATAAACTCTCAATTCACCACCTTTCTTTACATATAATATTGAACAATATTTTCTCTTAAGAAAAGCCCAAGACGCTTCCTGTTCTTTAAGACATATAATCTAGTAGGAAACTATTTGGTTGAGATACAGTAGTATCAGAAACAGAATATAATATTAACTTATATTTTAAATTGGTTGATACAGAATTTATAAATATCCTCACCTTAAGGAAAAGATCCATCTCAGGCTGGGTTTCATCTGTATAAATGAGGTAACATCTGACAGTGTTACTCCACAGAGAATGTGAAAACAGAGGAGTAACTTGTAATAAACTAGCTACAGCAATATCCCAGTCATCTGAAAATAAAATTTCTCAAGTTCATGAAAAAATTACCAGAACACATTTGATCATTCTAAAAAAGTTTTAAAAACATAACAGGCATCATAGAATGGAATCTGATCTTACATGTTAATACTGCCATACCTTCTAGAGTAATATATTCAAAGGCAATTAGTTTTCTAAACTCAAATTCTATCCTAGGACTTGAAGCAATGAATGTCACCAGTGGTCTTCCCTGAGGCACCAGTGGTTCCAGTCAAGTGTCATGAAAAAATTTTACATGAGTTACTCAATTAGTTGGTTACCTGAAGTTAGCCTACATTCCCAAGAGGATTTATAGCTTTACTTTCTTATTATTCTTGAAATATATTGAGTTAAAAGAATGTTCAAGAATGGCATAAAATGAAAAGTAGCCTTATGCTAACTATATTTAGTGAGAGTAAAAATTTAACACATATTTGGCTAGTTCAAAAAGCACAATTTTAAAAATGATTTTCATTTTGCTGATAGAGAAATAATTGTAGGGTTTTAAGGAAAAAGAGTAGAACTACTTATAACTTCTTAGGTCTGCACTGATATTGAAATTCTGAACAGATCTTAGAGCTATTCTGGACACTATGTTATATAAAAATAAGGAAAATATTCTTTTGGATATGAATACAGTTGTCCCTTGGTATCAATGGAGGATTGGTACCAGCACTTCCCCTCACATACCAAATCCACAGATGCTCAGGTCCCTTACATAAAATCATGTGGTGTTTGCATATAAATTACGCACATCCTCCCATATTCTTTAAATCAAGCTTCTCCAATCTGTGGCCCAGGATGGCTTTGCAGCCCAACACAACATTGTAAGACTTCTTATCAATTTTTTTTAGCTCATCAACTATCATTAGTGTTAGTATATTTTATTTGTGGCCAAAGACAATTCTTCTTTCAATGTGGGCCAGGGAAGCTAAAAGATTGGATACCCCTGCTTTAAATAATCTCTAGTTATTTACAATACCTCATGCAATGTAAATACTATATAAATAGTTGTTATACTGTATTGTTTCTTATTTCTATTTTTATTGTTGCATTGTTATTTTCATTGTTATTTTTCCAAATATTTTTGATCAGTGGTTGAGTGGATCTGTGGATATAGAAGGAAAACTGTACTATATTACCTAATAGAGCTTTTTGGTATTATCTCCATAACCTGCTCTAATCTTCAACACTATCAAAGAAGCAGAGGGAAAGATTAAAACCTACTGTTTTTCAATTAATCTACATTAGATTTGCTGCTCAACTAAAACACCAGAGAATTCAGACCATAACACAGTTACTAGAACCTGGCTGGCCAGGTTGGCAGGAGTACCATCTGATCACCATATGAATTATGCAACCTCATCCTTCCTTGTTAGTTACAGCCCCACTGTATGATGGTTTGTCAATGGAAAGCACTAGGAACACAAATTTCATGCTTTGCTAATGGTATTAATAGTTCCAGCACAAGATTATAAAACATGAACAGTCACTACCACTAGGCAAGTAATTGACAAACAGCATGTATTACCTCTATTAACATTTGCAAAGGGTCCTTCCACATCTATAGAACTATGGGCAAACTCAGGGCCTCTGAAGGACTGCTGAAGCTGGATCATGCTTCCTATGGAAGGTTCACTTCCCAAGGCTCCGCCAGTCCAATATTCACATTGGGTTCCAGCAGCTGTTCAGCAAGAGATTTTTATCTTGTGAAAGCCAACTTATTGAATGTTCAAAAACTCATCACATATACCGAACAGGATTGCTGATTTTAAAAAATATGAAAATATTACAAATATTCAAATGATTTTGAAAATACTTTGCCATCGACTTTTGGCAAAGTTCAAAGATACTGATTAACATAATTCTGGTTATCATCTCAAATTCAAAGAGAGGATTAAAAAGAGAAAGATGAAAATAAACAAGAATACAATAAAAAAGAAATCATAATAAGAAGGAAGTTAAAAACATTTTACAAAAAAAAATTCTAAAAAACATTTCCAACTGTACAGCTTAGACACCAGTTAAAATCTGAAGGAAAAAACCTCAAAGGCAGACTGTTACTAACACACATAAATATAAAAATATTCATAATTTATTAGGACATAAACTCTTTGCAGCAGGAAGTACCTCCTTCTCAACCTCCTAGAGCAACAAAATTAATGTCTGAATCAATAGCTACTTATGAACATGATGATTTTCTAATCAATTATATTTGTCAGAATATCTACATCCTTGATAACCTTAAGTAAATGGTTATTTGAGCTAAATCTCTGGCAAAACTGAGCTTACTATTTGTAGCTCTTTGAATCTCACATGGGTGACATTCCCCCTCAAGTGTTCCTTCTTCATGTTTAAAACAAAAATGAAAAAAGACCTAGAAAGGAATTTGTTTCTAACTTGCCAAGACAATTACAATAGTTTTGAAACACTGTACATTTGAGTATGTCAATACTGAAATAATCACTAAGACTTGTGTTGGGGTATAAAAGAGCATTTTCTCAGCTACTCTTGGCCATTAAGAATCTTTTTTTTTTTTTTTTTTTTTTTTTGAGATGAGTCTGGCTCTGTTGCCACACTGGAGTGCGGTGGCGCGATCTTGGCTCACTGCAACCTCCACCTCCTGGGTTCAAGTGATTTTCCTGCCTCAGCCTCCCGAGTAGCTGGGACTACAGGCACGCACCACCATGCCCAGCTAATTTTTGTATTTAGTAGAGACGGGGTTTCACCATGTTGGCCAGGATGGTCTTGATCTTTTGACCTCGTGATCCGCCCGCCTTGGCCTCCCAAAGTGCTGGTATTACAGGCATAAGCCACCGTGCCCGGCCTTCATTTTTTTTCCTTAAAAGTTAGCAATAAAAATTCCAGGATGTTGGTCAGATTCCAATGATACTACAATGAAAATTAAGAAGGAACTGTCAGTTACCATATTTTACTCCAAAATGCATCCATTTGTGAGAATATACTTACAGTTCATTACAAATGGGAGAGTGACTACATTTTTCCACTGCATTTTAAAATAGAATATTTTTCTTTTTTCAGTATCAATCACACTTTAACATTTTCTTAGAATATGTAAACCCTTTCACTCTGTGATTTCAAGCTTTTATTTCCAGAAAACATGTTTCATTTGTTTAATTATAAAACAAATACTTTTTGAATAGTTCACAAGGCTATACTGGAAACCACTCAGTGAACTATAAGGCAAGTATTCTAAATGATAGTTGCAAAGAATACATCATTATGTAAAGAAATAACATTGCAGAGACTAGTAACTCCAATATCCATTCTCCTCTTCTTTCTTCAGTAACAGAACACTACATTTTAGTTGGACACATGTCTGCCTGGCTGCTGATTACACTATCCAGTCTTCCCAGTTATAGTTCTGACTAATGGGATTTGAGAAGTGATCTTAGGTTGTACCTTCTGGGAAAGGAACGTGTTCTCCCCTTCCTTCTTTCCCTTGGCTAAAATGCAGATGTGCTGGTGGGAGCTGGGGTAGATATCTTAGACTAGAGAGTAAAAGTTATGGGTTAGGGTTGGCAGAGTGACAAGGTAGAAGGAACTTCAGTCCCCAAATTCATACACTTCGTGGAGAAGAGGTGTCTTAGCAGCTGACAGAGAGAACACACGACACTATTTGCAACAGTAGTTAAAGCAATAACCTAATATAGATAAGTAAAAGAAATCTAGCAGAATTCAAAGTTGGCTCTACATGTCATTACAGCCATGTTGAAAGCTCAAAATATAAATAGGATATACACTTACCAGTGACATCTGTACAGTTGTCATCTGAATCAGACTCCCCAGGATCAAATACTTGGATACCCTGAGCCTGTAGCCTCTGAAGTTTGCTCTCCAACTCCCTCTTGGCCCTCAGTAAGTCCTGAATTTCATTTTCTTTGGTCTCCCTAAAAATCTTTAAAAAGAATAATTTTAATGTTGAAAGCTTTTTCATAATCAAAAAGTTGTGTCATCAACTTTAAGGGAAAAATATTTCATTCATAAAACCAATATTCATTTGGTCCTCGATTTCCTCTTTCATAGGGTGAATGTCCTAGTACCTTTACCTTACTGTTTTGCAACTGGAAGCCACTGGAATTCCAGCAGGATGCGTGTCTGTGGTGTGGGTCTGTCATGTGCACTGCATGATGTTTAGGAAATTTGTCTCTCTCCCACTAAATACCAATAATACAACATCCCTAAACATTTCCAAATGCTTTTCCCCATATGGAAACGCTTTCCTTTTTTTCGAAATTACTATTAAAATGTTCACTTTCATACGTTTTTCTTTGAAATGATCTCAAGTTTACCACGTCCAACTCAAAAATGTGAAAGTGCTCTACACTAATTCTTACAACTTTCCTGAATCCTACATGACTTACTTCTATTTATTCATCGCATTATATATTATATATACTTTTAGAATATACTATTTTATTCTATGTTGCTTTGGGGGTAAAAATGTAAGGAATTTACCTTGAATTGCCTTTTAACTTTATCTCTGTCATGTTCAAATGTTGCTGCTCTCTCCATTGCTTGGTATTTCGCTTCTAAAGCACTTTCTTTTTCTCGAAGTATCTTCTGATACGTTTTTTGAAGTGCCTAGAATAATTTACCTTGTTATTTCCTAACAAAAATAGTCTTGCTCCTCAATTTTACATTCTTATATATATACATATATATATATATATGTTACGTATCTTAGAATTTTAAGTCTACTTATTATTTTACCAATTATCAGGAACTTCATGTTGCCATTTTATTCAAAACATGATGGAAAAAAACCGCAACCATGCTTGAACTACCACAAATAAAGACCAACATTAAGCTTTCAATGGAAATTAACTTTTTTTGAAACACTGCATCAGCTCTTAAACTTCCTTATGCCTTTTCCATCTTTGTGATAGTAAAAATTACATTTTGTAAGGCTTAACTTGAAGGATAAGTAGTTCTAAGAGACTGTGTGCCTGTTGGCACTATGTCTTATTCATCTCACCATCCCTTGAGCACTTCACAGTGCCTGGTACACTGCAAGTCTCCAGTAAATGTCTGACACAATGAATGAAATAAATATGGATAAGTTTTTTCATGCCTCGATATGTGAGAAAGGAACCAGTATGTTTCACAGGGAATCAGGATTGGTGACATGAGTGACTGTGACACTTGCCAACCCTTATTGCACTCCGCCCTGTTTGGTTTGGCCTTTTCTACCCCCACCTCACAGTTGTTTCCAACGTGCGGTGTCTGTTGGGCAGTGGCTTGGATACATTGAATCAGATATTTGAAATGCACTAGTCCATTTTATACATGCAAGTGCATTAAGGTTGCCCAGTAGGAAAACTGATAAGACAACAGATAAACTGCTACACGGACTTCTTCCCAGACAACGACAATAATTACACAACAGCTAATGAGGGAGTTTAAAAACAAAAACAACAACAACAACAACAACAAAACCTGACTAGAAGAATGTCTAGTCTTGAAGACAGGAGGCTTTTTTTCTTTTAGAAAAATCAGTCTGAGGTATTTATTTCACCCCGACTGTAACGACTCCGGGAACTCTTAGGCTGCCTATAAGTCTCTCCCACAGTAAAGAGTACACAAACGACACAACAACGACCAGAGGGGCCCCAAACTGAGGGCAAAAAGTTTTAGAGATTCGTTCACAGAAAAGCAACCTCTTGCTTTATACTATTTTTTTTTTTTTGATACGGAGTCTCGCTCTGTCACCCAAGCTGGAGTGCAATGGTGCAATCTCGGCTCACTGCAACCTCCGCCTCCCGGGTTCAAGCAATTCTCTTGCCTCAGCCTCCTGAGTAGCTGGGATTACAGGCGCGTGCCACCATGCCCGGCTAATTTTTGTATTTTTAGTAGAGACGGGGTTTCACCATGTTGGCCAGGCTGATCTCGAACTCCTGACCTCAGGTGATCCGTCCGCCTAGGCCTCGAAAAGTGTTGGGATTACAGGCGTGAGCCACCACGCCCGGCTGCTTTACATACTATTTTATTGAATTATAATGGACCTGCTACATGGAGGGCATGCAATAATTGCTTTTAGCGTAAATTAATCAAATGGACTAGGGAAATTTGACTACATCTAGAGAAGGTTTTCAACCATGGTGAGATCAGGAGGCTTCCAGAAATTTTCATGTCAAGACCATTAAAATGCAAGAGCGATGAAACTTTACAAAGAAACCGACACTTGAGCCCCACTTTGGAGACCCACTTAAAATTTTTATGGTGGGGAGGGGGGTGAAACTCCTAGGAAGAGTTTGCTGAGTTGCTTCAACAGATGTCACCAGCCTTCTGAGGGGGTGGGCGCGGGGGCGGCAGTGGAGCTGGAGATTGGCATTTGCCTCCTCAGGACACTTTCCGGCTAATTTCTTCTAGGTGCCTCAATGAATAAACCAGAAATAGAAAAGCGGGGACCAGGCGCGGTGGCTCACTCCTGTAATCCCAGAACTTTAGGAGGCCGAGGCGGGAGGATCATTGAGCCCAGGAGTTCCAGGTTGCAGTGAGCCGCGATCGTGCCACCGCAGCGAGACCCTGTCTCCAAAAAAAGAGACAGAAAAAGGGGAGGGTTAAGGAATCATTTCAGACTCGAAGAGAATATGGCCTCTCAAATTAAAATGGGCAGTTTCCGCCGAACTTTCAAAGCCGCTTGGTTTGGAGAGGGAGCAGGACGGCCGTGCTTCCCAAGGGTCTCCCGGCGTCGCGGCCCAGCCCGGCGTTACCTGCAGTTCGGCCCGCAGCCGCTTGTTCTCCGTGTCCAGCTTGGCCTCGCGGCGGCCCATGGACAACAACTCCTGGTTCTTGCTGACGCGAAAGATCTCGTACTCCTTCCTGAGCCGCTCGTACTCGGCCGCCGCGTACTCCAGCTCTGGCACCGACGAGCCAGTGGACTTGAAGCTGGCCCCCAGCAGCCCGCCCGCGCCCACCCCGCGGGGCAGCGACCCGGGCCCGGCCCCTGCTGCCGCCCCCGCGCCTCGGCGGAACGAGTTGCGCAGCAGGCGGGCCTTGGGCTTCACCTCCACCGGGATCTCGCAGGCCTCGCCGCCGCCCGCCCCGTACGTGTCCTCGATCACTTCCCCGCCCGCGGGGCTCACGAGCGACGAGGCGGTCCCCATGGCGTCCGTTGCCGCTACTACCTAGTGAGTACCAGCAGGACTGGGCAGCGGAACGGAACGGGACGGGGTGGGGCAGAGGAACGGAACGGGACGGGGCGGGGCAGAGGAACGGAACGGGACGGGGCGGGCCAGCGGGATGGAGCGGGGCCGGAGAGCAGGACTGGGCGGAGCAGCGGGACGGGGCGGAGCAGCGGAACGGGGCGAGGCGGGGGAGCGGGATGGGGCGGGGAAACAGGAGGGGCGGGGCAGCAGAACTGGGCGGGGCGGGGGTGCAGGACGGGGCGGGGGAGCAGGACGGGGCGGGGCAGCGGAACGGGGCGGGGCGGGGCCGGAGAGCCGGACGAGGCGAGGCAGCGGAACGGGGCGGGGAGGGAGAGCGGAAGGGGGTGGGGCAACTGGAGGGGCGGGGCAGCGGAACGGGACGGGGCAGCGGAACTGGGGGGATGGGCGAGGGGGACGGGGCGGGGCAGCAGGGCTAGGCGGGACAACAAGAGGGGCCGGGCAAGTGGGGCGGGGCATGTGGGCGGGGCAGGGCAAACGGGGGTGGGTCGAGAAAGCACACAGGGCCAGGCGGGCTAGCAAGAAGGGCGGGGCTAGCAGGAAGGATGGGGGGAGTGGCGACTGTGCAGGACCAGCAGTGGACCGGACGCTGGTGGAGGGGTGCTCCGAACGCTGGTGGAGTGGTGCTCCGACATAGGGCTTCTCTCCGTTGTCTCCGCCCGGCTCGAGGCTCCCTGGCGGGCGTGCCTCACAGGGAGCACAGGCCTGGGTCCCAGCTGCTCTACAAACGCTGCAGCTATTTCTTTCGCTGCCGCCGTGCCTGACCGGAAACTCCTTTCTGGAAGCAGTTGGGAAATCTGAAAAATTTATGGAGTGCCTGCTATGTGCTTCCCGCGATATCTCTCTCTCAGTATGCATGTAGATAGAATGACCAGCAAGGAATAATGCCAGCAAAGAAAGAGCTTTTAGATTTTACAGTCTGAAACCACCAGGGACAATCCTTAGACAAGGTTAAGTTTTTTAACTCATTGCGGCATGGGACATTGGAGACCGCACACCAGTCTCTCCTTCATTCCCTCCATCAAAGTGGCTAGTCATCTCTTCTCTTACCCTTTAGATTTTCTTCAGGAAGTAGTCATACTAGGCCTTTGCATTCTTCAAAATCCAGAGTGTATATACTAATTTCTTCAGGTGGTCTCCTGAGATAAAGGGAAATATTTCCACCATCACAGTACCTTAAGAACTTTCTACCTTTTCAAATCCGTTCTGATTTCTAACTTCAAATTTTTGAATTCTCCATGTGGATCAGGGGTTTAAGGATCATCCACTAGGTTTCTGACTAAACCCTTTGAACATTTTTGCATCTTAGTACCTCCTTTGGAATGGGCCTCAGCTGAACACTTCCATAACTATGCTTGAGTAAGAAGATAAAATAGCCATCACCCATTCTCTCCAACAAATAACCAAACTCACTATGCTAACTTCCTACAGCTTGGGGAGTACATTCAGATTCTACAGTCTGGAACTGAGTGCTCTGAAGCATGCATCTCTCCTTTCCCCACGTCATTTCTATCCAGTGACATGCCTCTAATCCACATTTCTCCACCCTACTTGCGTACTGATCTTAGATTACTATTGGTCAATGCCAAAGTGACCAAATTTCTTAATCCTAAAAAATGACATTATTTCTTCCTGGCTAACACGGTGAAACCCCGTCTCTACTAAAAATACAAAAAAATTAGCCAGGCGTGGTGGCAGGCGCCTGTAGTCCCAGCTACTCGGGAGGCTGAGGCAGCAGAATGGCGTGAACCTGGGAGGCGAAGCTTGCAGCCGAGATGGCGCCACTGCACTCCAGCCTGGGCGACAGAGCGAGACTACGTCTTTAAAAAAAAAAAAAAGACATTATTTCTAACCTCATAACCTGTTTTTCTTCATGCTGAATTTAACCCACGTACTTCAGTCTGCATTTTGAAAGAATAACTTTTAATACAGAAATATAGTGAGAATAAAATATTTGGCAGGTGGCTTATAACTTACTAAAGATGGCCACATTTTTTTTTAATAGTCCTCCCATAGAAAAGACAGCTAAGACAGCTACACAATTTGTGGGACCCAGTGAAAAATGAATATGTAATGCCCCTTATTCAAAAATTATAAATATTTTCAAGATGGCTACAGCAGAGCATTAAGCCAAGTATGGGGCCCTTTTGAGTTTTGGGCCCTGCGTTACTGCACATGGGGTTGCATGGCCATGAAGCAAGCCTGTATATGACTCCTCACTTTGAACCTGAGTGAACTCTGACCGCTTGGACCAGTGGAATGTGGCAGAAATGACACTGTGCCAGTTTCCAAGCCCAGGTCTTGAGAGAATGGCGACTTCCACTTCTTGTGTCTTGGAACACTCGGGAGTGTTGAGCCACCATGTAAAGACTTACTAACCTGAGACTGCCCAAATTAAGAGGTCATATGTAGGCATTCCAGGTGACAGTCTCAGCTGGGCCCAGCTTTCCAACCAGAGTACCAAGACATGTAAAATGAAGCCATCTTGGACTCTTCAGACTAGTGCATTCACTACTTAGAAATTAAGTGACTTCTGTATACACTACAGGGGAGAAAATCACCCAGCCAACCTCTGCCCACATTTCTGGCCCACAAAATCATGAGATATAATAAAATTACTGTTGGTTTGAGCCATTACATTTTGGTAATTTGTCTTTTCACCTGGAATAAGAAAAAATGTCTCTACATTTGATCGGGCAGCCTATAAATTGATAAACAATGCTACTGTCTTTTTTTTTTTTTTGAGACGGAGTCTCGCTCTCTCGCCCAGGCTGGAGTGCAGTGGCACGATCTCGGCTCCCTGCAACTTCTGCCTCCTGGGTTCAAGCGATTCTTCTGCCTCAGCCTCCCGAGTAGCTGGGATTACAGGCGTGCACCACCACCCCCGGCTAATTTTTTTGTATTTTTAGTAGAGACGGGGTTTCACCATCTTGGCCAGGCTGGTCTTGAACTCCTCACCTCATGATCCACCCACCTTGGCCTCCCAAAGTCCTGGATTAGAGGCCTGAGCCACCGCACCCGGCCTGCCATTTTTTTTTAAATGGGATTGGTAGAATAAATATCATTTGGGTAGAGTAGTGTGTATTTGGTCTTCAGACTATGAATCTCACAATCACTTGGGACATTTGGTAAAAATTTGGGGACCTTGACAATTTTGCATGTTTAGTTACTTCCCAGGTGATGCTTATGTACTTTAGGATCTCAGAACACTGAGACTGCATAAAAATTGTGGCTAGGGATGATCTAATTCCTCGCTACTCAAAGCATGGTCCTCAGGCAGTAGCATCAACATCACCCTGAAGCTTGTTAATCAGATTCTCACATGCTATCACTGACCTCCTGAATCACAATTTGCAGATTAAAAAGATCTCCCAGGTGATGTGAATATAGATTAAAATTTGAGAAGCACTACTGTAGAAAAATGGTTCTTAACCTTGGCTGCACATTACCATCACCTGGAGAACTTAAAAAAATAAAGACTGCTGCCTGGGCCTCACCCTAGACCAATTAGATCAGAATTTCCAGGAGTTGAGGTCTGAACATCATTAATTTTTTAAAGCTCCCCAGCGGATTTTAATCAGTAGTCAAGGTTAAAAACCAATGGTTTCACCTCGGCCATCTCATTATTGCCAACATGTGTGTGATCCCCATTGGTAACCATCTCAGTATCTGTTTACATGTATACAGATTCCTCTGTGACCTTTCTTCGCAGTTCATCATAGTGAAGGCAAATGTAATTTTGACTATATCGATAGTATTGTGCTTCAACTTTAGAGATAGACATGGCATCACAAATGGTCATAATGTCCTGATAAAATTTATCACTTTGGAATAAATGACCTGTATAATTGGAAATGCTTCATTGAGTAACAGTCTTTGAAGACAAAGGAACTCTGCAAAAGGAAGGGATTCTAGCTCTCACCAAAATTGCCAACCTTCTCCCAGGCTGTTTAGTCCTGCTCAGTTCTACCAAGTGAACTCTGACTTCTAAAGTCTCCTACTACAAAGTCTGTAAGTATGACCCTAATTTTAGGAACTAATTAACAATAGGGGAAAACTGTGATCAAGCAGCTGTGATTTAACATTTCTACCATTAGGGGTCAGTGTAACTCAGGAAAAAAATAATTTGGCTGTATGTATTAAAAAGGATCACCTTGTGAAGACGACAGTCTGGGTGTTGCCTTCATTAACAGTCATCTACACTGCCTTACTTAGTTCCCATCACAAGTAATAACATGACTCTGGAAATTATTATGAAACAGACAAGAGTAGGATCAGCAAGCTTTTTCTATAAAGGACCAAATAGTAAATATTTCAGTCTTTAGTCTCTGTCACATTACTCAATTCTACCATTATAGCACAAAAGCAGCCCCACACCATACACAAACAAATGGCGTGTCTGCATTCCAGTAAAACTTTATTTTAAAAAACTGGTGACTGGTTGAATTTAGCTCACAGGTTTGCTGACCCCTGAACTGGAGGAGTGGTTCTCAAACCTGGATAATTACCTGGGGAGCTTGTTAAAAATGTAGAGCCATGGACCCCACATCAAGTCCACCGAATCCAAATGTTTTTAAGTAGAGCTCACATATCTGAATTTTTTAAAGTTATCTTTTGATTTAGAAGCAAATACTAATTTAGGAACCATTAGGACAAAATAAAGTTAACTTTACCTCTTAGGAAACCGTAAAGTCCACCTTGTTACAATGTTTTTAGTATCTGAATAACTATCCATGGTATAAAAGATATAAATGTGAAGCTTAGGCTTAGATAATCTCTATAACTACTCTGAAAGTACATCAATGAAAGGCTCATTCCTCTGTAAATGTTTGTATTAAGGCCCTAGTGTTCAGATTATTTTGGCCAGAGAACAACCCAGCCTGTCCTAACAGACAGAGGGGCATACTGAATTAAATTGAACAAGGAAGGAGAAGACATTGATGAAAACAGTAAAGGAGAAGGAAAAGCGATAAGAGAAATGCTGGAGTGCTGTGTAGTATCTCCTAAAAAAATGTCCCAAATGTTCAATAAGTTTACAAATTCTGAAAAACTTGCTGTGACCTATTTTTTTTTTCAGGAATTGGTGAAGAAGAGGAGTTTAGTGCCAAGGTGGGTGCAAGAGTGAAACAAAGGCAACACATCCACATGCACTGGACAGGGAAATGGGGTAAGAATATTTTAAATATGGGGTATCCATTCTTTTATGAAGTATGTGTTCTAACGATAGTGTTTCCCTGGGCTGTTTCCCCTTGGGCTAATCAAATATATGGATATATAGAAGGCCATGCTTTAAGAAGAGCTGCAATGGGTTTTGTTAAGAATACCATAGCCAATATGTTTACCTGTGGTCCTGTATAAAGCATACTGCACATTTGGGATATTTGTTTAACAAATAAAGGGGTTCTATTTCTCCATAACAGCCTCTAGGATGAAAGAAGCCATTTATTTCTTATTTGCTGAGAAATGTCCCTTTGTTTCTCAAATTCAAGGCTATTCTCCGACCTCTCTCCGCCTCTGCCTCATGTTCATCTGTGAAGTTGAATATAATCTTAAATTCTTCTATGGAGCCATCTATCCCAAACCTAGTAACCAGCACCCACTTCAGGTTGTCATTAGTGACTATTATTTTTTCTTACACTCAATGCCCACATGCCAGGATGAAGATGAGGCGCCATATTCAATTAGCTCCTATGAAGGAGAGATGAAGTCTTCACTACTGTATACATTTGAGATGTGCCTTTTCTGACATAAATCAGCCACAGAGAAAAGAGTCAGCTGACATTTGTAGTTGCAAGGGGAAAAAAAATCTCTTCACAAGTAATGTATGAATAAAAGTGGCTGATTGTAACTGTAAGAGCTTAAAACAGCCCGGCGTGCTGGCTCATGCCTGTAATCCCAGAATTTTGGGAGGCCAAGGCAGGTGGATTGCTTGAGCCAGGAGTTTGAGACCAGACTGGGGAACACGGTGAAACCCACTGTCTACAAAAAATAAAAAAAATAGCCAGGCGTGGTGATGCACACCTGTAGTCCCAACTACTCGGGAGGCTGAGGTGGGAGGGTTGCTTAAGCCTGGGAGGTGGAGGCTGCAGTGAGCCAGGATCGTGCCACTGTACTCCAGTGAGAGTACAGTGAGAGTGAGACCCTGTCTCAAAAAAAAAAAAAAAAAAAAAAAAGATTTTATCTTTTAGATAAGATTTACTTACAGTTACAAAATTTTATTAATTCTCATCATAATTAAGGGGAGTTTATATGTGAGTTATAACCCCAATTTAGAAAGAAGTTGTGTTCCAGCATTCCAGCGATTAATTTAAAAATCTGATATTTAGTATTTGAAGCATATTTCCTCAAGAAACAGCGTTAGACAAGGTGGCTATTGGTTCAGCTTAGCACACAGCTGAATGCTGTTTATGCTAAATGCAGACTAAACAACTCAAATGCCACTGTAATATGTAGTCTTTGGAAATACGCTTTCAACATATTAACTCAGATTATCCAGGAACACATCTATCCTTGGGCACTGTGAAGAAGACACTTAAGGCCACAGGTCAAAGTGTGCACATTTCACTGGTCTGAGACAGTTGTTCCAGTAGGGAGGAGACCAGGAAAAGGAGATAGGGAACGAGTTGTTATATGGTTGCCATAGCTTAGATTCTGGCAAAATGTTGTGCAAGTTATTTGGCTTCTTGCACTTTAGTCTCCTCATCTGAAAACGGAGATAATAGTAGTTCACTTTATAGCAGTTGTAGACATCCAAATGAATAAACTAGTTTTGATTATGTTTTGTTTCCCAGGGATCCAGAAAATGCACTATTTCATTTAAACTCTCTTTTCTAAGTAACTTAGTAGGGAGACCCTAAACATTTTTTTGGCAAGCCTGACATGTATATTTCATTCTTTGAAGGCTGTTTTGATTGATATCCAGCAAAACTAGGGCCTCTCTGTGACAGAAATCACTGGCATATCTGCATCCTTAAATACATATGACTACCATTGTCCTAAAAAATAGTGTTTCTTCACTGTTTTCTGGCTATTACATTTTGAACCCGAGTCAAATCAGTCGATGGAGATGGTTATATTCTGATGGTTATATGTCTGTTACATTCTGACGCCAAAAGGCAAAAAGCACCAGACTTCCTTATAAAAATTATTTTATTTTTTAAGATGACAAATAAAAATTGTATATATTTTTGGAATACAACATGATGTTTTGATACATGTATATTTTGTGGAATGGCTAAATCAAGCTATTTAACATATGTATTACTTCACATACTTTCTATGGTGAGAATGCTTAAAGTTTCTCTTAGCAATTTTCAAGTACACAATATATTGTTATTAACTGTAGTCACCACGTTGTATGATGGATCTCTTGAGCTTACTCCTCCTGTTTAACTGAAACTTTGTATTCTTTGACAAACATCCTCCAGCCCCCCCTCACCACCAGCCTCTGGTAACCACCACCATTCTACTCTCTGCTTCTGTGAGTCCTCTTTTAAATTCCACATGTAAGTGAGATCATATGGCATTTGTCTTTCTGTGTCTGGCTTATTTCACTTAGTGTAATGTCCTCCAGTTTCATTTATGTTGTTGCAAATGGCAGGATTTTCTTCTTTAAAGGCTGAATACTGTCCCATTGGAGATATATATATATATTAAATTTTCTGTATCCATGCATTTGTTAATGGACACTTAAGTTGATTCTATATCTTGGCCATTGCGAATAATTTTGCAATGAACATGGAAGTGTAGATATCTCTTCAACACACTGATTTCATTTCTTTTAGGTATATACCCCTTGGTGGGATGGCTGGATCATCCAATGGTAGTTAAGTTTTTAGTTTTTTGAGGAACCTCCGTATTGTTTCCATAATGGTTGTACTAATTCCTACAAACAGTGTGCAAAGGTTTCCTTTTCTCCACATCCTTGCCAACACTTATCTTTCATCTTTTTTTTTTTTTTATAATAACCAGTCTAACAGGTGTAAGGTGTGATAAGCTACAACATTTGACAGTTTAACATTTGACTGTAACATTTGACAGTTTAAAAGTAAACAGGCTTCCAAATTAACCCACCTTGGGAAGGTCTTATAATTCATGGTGACATCCTGTCCCTCAGTAATGAACCTTATGAGTTCCTCTAATTGTTAATGTACTAATAAAGACATACCCTACTGACACTGAAAAGGATGCTGATTTGTTTTCAAATTACAAAGTTTTACTGGTTGTCTTGTACATAGACATTTTAGCCTATATGTTGCAATCTGTATCCAATTATTGTAACTTTTATATTGTACTCGCCAATGAAAAAGGACAACTCCTATGAGTAGTCCCCCTCCCTTCTCCTAAATTTTCCTACAAAAGCCTTCTAACTTGTAACGGACTCTGGAACCCTCCCAATTTTGTTGGTGTGTCTTCCTGGGTTGATCCTCACATTTGGCTTCCAAAGTAACTTTATCAAATTATTTCTGCCTTAAGAACCTTAATTTCAGTCAACATTCTGTTATAATCAGCAGGATTCCAGAGCAACTTCCCTGGATCATCCAATGTGGCTTTTGACCATTATGCATGTACCAGTAATGAACCTATTGTGTTCCCAAATTTAAATGCTCCTGCTGGGTGCTACAGATGGGTTCCTCCTGGAACCCTCACATCTTGGCTGAAGTTCTGGTTTATTGAAGCTAGTTTCCTCCCTGGCCAGGAGGTACAATGACTCTTTCAGCACAAGAGTTACTGCTACCAATTCAAGGGAAGGGTTTTATTGGGAATTTTAGGGCAGAATAAAATAGGAGCTCAGTGAATTGTTTCCCTGGAGGCTAGGTGAGACAATCTTTCCTTAGTTTTCTCCTTCTCAATCACATGAGGGCACTCTTGCTCCAAAGATGAGACATTTACTCCCTCTGGCCAAACTGTTCACTTTTTGCTCAGCTTGTAGGCTTTAGAAGGACTGATCATCTCTTGCCCCGAGCATCCCGACCCTTCTTTGGAGGTGACTTGGGAGTCCAAGACACATAAGAACTCTTTTCAGCCCATTGTATGAAATCCCCAGAGGAAAGATTCATAGTCAGCACACCTGACCCCTTATAGAGCTTGTCTTGCTCAAAGCAGCCAGGAAAATGCATCCAGACTGAAGGTATACCACCTCTGTTGACACTAGCTGGTTTCATGTTGTTTTACTTGCAAGTACTTGGATAAGTGGACCCATCTAACCCAGGATGGTCATCAGCAGCAGTGGCCAAAATGGGGATGTTTTGAAAATGCCTAAAATAATTTATCTGTGCACACAAATGGAAAAAGTTGGTTTTGGAGCCAGATTGAATGGGAGACTTACTTCCAACAGCACCTAGAAGCTTCTAAAAGAAATTCTTTGAAAAAAAAAAATGCCTCCATTCAAGAGGTAAACAAAAGGATATTTAAAACCATTCAAACCATTGTACATTAGTTGAAAAATACTTAGAAGGCTCTCTCCCTTTCTTCCCCATGGCTCCTCCTTGTCTACCCCTGTTCTTTCATCTTCTCTCTTATATGAACTCATTCCCTTCTGCTTGTTCCTTGGGCTCCCATACATCTCTTAGGCAGAGATTTTTGGAATTTCACAATGGACTCATTTACTTCTTTCAAGGGAGTTAAAATGTATTTAAATTTAAAACAGAAGGAGCAAATGGAACAACTGCAGAATGAGAATGAAACTACTGAGATTCTAAAAATACAGATCCAACAAGTTTTTTCTAAAGTGGTACTAATGATCAACACATTTTATGGTTTATTGCTAGCTTTGCCAAACCATTTGTGGTCTTCCATATACATTAGTAAAATACATACAGCCACCTCCATTAAAGTGGAAGTAAACCTGATTAAACCTTTTACCAAATATCAGATAATACTCTTTAAATGTGCTGCTAGACCTCACAGTCCCTTGCAGATATAAAACTTCACTGGCCTTTTAGAAAACTTAAATTATGTCTCTGTGCCTTGAGATGTAAATTTACTGTACTCGGTAAGATCTTCAGCCATGGAAGACAGATTAACTTGTTGTATTTACAGAGGCACAATTTAATTCAACTGTTCTTTTAAGCTGGTGAGTTTTACCTGACTCATGAATAAAATTTTAAAAGCAAAGCTATAAAATCTTTATTTGCATCTGTTTGTATTTTTATATGTACATGTACACATGTCTGTATTTGTATATTGTTTACATGGTACCAAATTGGTTTATAAATAAATAAGCACTCATCAATTAGTAAGCCAAAATACTTTGTAAATTCATATCACTTGAATAGATCTTTTAGCATGTAAGACTAGTTTAATAAGAACAACCATCTTCTGAGTTTTTGGCAAAATATCCATAAATTTAACTTTAAGCTTCTTACTTAAGTGAATATCTGATATTCACAGACTATAAACGTGGTTAGCAGTAAAATAACTTGAAATGTTGACTAGCTTTGTCTAATATTTCAGTTTTCATAAATATTCTAGGTAAGCTGTTAAAAATAAATAAATTAGATAACTGTCAATGAGATACACCTCTAGAGGAACTTTTCATGTAATTTGAAATCTTAAAGCTATGTTAAATTAAATAATAGATACTATTAAATGTCTGGGTCATTTCCAATTAAGGTAAACATATTATAAGAAAACATGTTTCTAAAGATTATAAAATGGTTTTCATTTATAAGACACTGATATGTGACAAGCAAAGATTCTTGTTGTCGAGGTTGTCACTAAAATGTAAGGTTACTGAGAGTTAAAAGTTCTAATTAATATTTATATATAATTTTATATATAGAATGTGCCAAAAATAAGATGTGTTTTTGATAAGAAAAAATTATAAGAAGTGTTCTTTATTATAAAAATTATTATAAAAATGTGTTCTTTATTGAGAAAGAAAAAATAATTTTGTCTAATTTGTAGGTTACTTAAAGGTTGTTTCAAAATATGGACTTAGGAAGGAGAAAGAAACAAGATTAAAAAGGAACAAGTAACTAGGAGAGAAAAATATGAAGAAGGTTATGGATATGAAGATGCATTTTTGGTAAGGAAGGTTAAAAAGAAAAGAGAATAATTTTGTATGAGAAAGAATCTCATATGATAAAGTTTTGTCCTAATGTAAAATGACTGGTTATTTAAGAAAGAGGAAATACAGGACAAAGCAGAAAGTCCAAGCGTGTTTTCAATGGTCTGCCTATGTCATGATAAGGTTCGTGAAAAGAGAATTTATGAAAACAATTTTGTGTGTGATTAAGTTGGCTATAATTCTAAAGAAATTATTTCTAAGTTTTCTAAAGATTAAGCTTTGACATTGAAAATATGCTAGAACAAAACTAAAAAAATGTGGTCCCCTGTATTATAACAAGGTTTTTGTAAAGTATTCATTTTCTTTTAATAAAATTGCAAAAGATTTTTATTTTAAAATTCTAAAATCCATTTCTTTTTGAAACTTCCTTTTATCAAGATAATTTCTGTGTTGTCCTTACTTGGTTTTGGTTTCTTTAAAAGGATTAAGGGTTTTACATCCATGTAACTTTCTTTATTGCTTTTGAAGTCTTTTGATTACCACTCTGGTTAAATGAATAAGTATTAATTAACAGTGACTGGCGATTCTGTTTTCATCAAATGCTTGGAACTTTTGACATCTTTGACAAACTTCCCCCAAATCAACTCCTAAAGTAGGCTGTTTCCCCTAAAATTAACTTTAGGGTTTTCTAGTTAGACCTCTGGAGAACCTCAAAGAATATGTCTTGTAGAGATATTAAATTATTAGGCTTATTTGGTAAATTGTATGAGAAACATTGTCAAATGATAAATGGTACTAGATCTTCTTTCAGTTATATTTATGGGCATGTTATTGATATAAATATCCCCAGAATTATATAAATTTATAAAAATCTAATGTTATGAGTCATAATTTTGACTATATTAAATCTTTTCCAAAGTTATATTTGTATGGATGTATTATTAATAGGAATATTGTAGAGATTACATGAAATTTATAAAAGTCTGGAAATCATGATGTGATGCTGTCAGTCATGATTCTGTTTTTTGTTTTAAAATGCCACATATAATAGAAACAACTAAATTTCTTTGTCTTCCACTAGATTTTAAACATGACTATTTTAAGTTTTTGTTATCCACAGTTATTATTTTGAATTCTTTACTAAAAGCATTTACAATGAGCTATAGTCCAAAATTGCTTTTCATGGAAAAGACTCTAACAACTACTCTTGAACACAGATTTCTGATAATGTTAAGATCAATGTATTAGGTAAAAACTTCCATAACTCTACTAATAAACTGATGGATTCATGAAGACAGCAAACCCAACACAAAGCAAAACAAGAATTACATGAAACTAAACTGATAGAGGACTAAAATGATTTTTATGACTGTTTGAAACATTGCTGATTCTTTCCATACTTGTTTTCCAGTCAAGAATTTTTTTTTCATTTGAGCTATTTATATCTTACAGCAATTGGTTAAAGTATACTTTTGTGAGCAAAATTGAAAGATTTACCTTTTTCTCTCTACCTAAATTCTCCAGAGAGTTTGGAAACTATTCCTAAGTGTTCTTATTTTATGGCAATATATTTATTTGCATAAGTTTGATTCAATTCTGTTTTCTTTTGTATTAAGTCACATTGGAAACATTGGTTATTTTACCAAGGCTTTGACTATAATGTCATATTTTCAAATATGACAAGACTGCTTTGAGGGATTGAAATTGACTTTGTAAAGCCAATAGACTTGGAAAAGACTGGCCTGGTACCTTGTCTACATAGTTTCTTTACGGAGTTCCTGACCTTGCAGTAATTAAAGAATGTCACTTTCTGACAGGCCCAGGAACCTCCAGATATTTTGGGCACCTCAAGAAGAGAGAAATTCACCCATTTCATACAGGTATTATAGGCACAGTCTGATGGTGAATCCTTGGCTTGGCTCCCTAGCCTGAAGGAGTTGTTAAAAGTCTAATCTAAAAGCCCTTATGAAAACGTTCCAGCAAAGTCAACTTAAAAGAGCCTATATGGCTGATCACTATTTTTGTTGTACTTTACGCAAATAATTAGGCCAATTATGATAAGACAAAAACTTATATTGCGAACAAAATTGGTCTCATTATTTGTCTTTGGTAAAAAAGGAGGACTGGAGAGAGAGTAATTATGTTTCAGAAGAAAATTATAGTATACCTGCTTTTTGATTCTAGACTTGCCCATTGTTTTTGATTTATTTTTATTACTATTTGCCTACAATTTGGACTGAATATTAGATTCCTTGAGATCAACAGCTAATGTCTCCCAGTGACTGGAGATGATTCTTTATTCAGGAAACTAACATGTAGCCTGTCTCATGACCTGCCTGATGTTGCTAGTAATTTTGCCTGCCTGTGATAACAAAGTTATTTCCTCTTGCTGAGGGACATGACTTCCTAGGAATGGGCCTTCCCAGTGCTGAGAAATAAAGAATGTCTGTCACTCTAACTTAAGCAGAGATTGAGTATCAATGTTTCCATGGGAAGATTTTTGATCAAAAAGGGAAATAACCTACAGGTCACATTTGACAGTTCACTTTAAAAGTAAACAGGCTTCCAAATTAACCCACCTTGGGAAGGTCTTGTGATTCATGCTGACAACCTGTCCCTTAGTGATGAATCTTATCATGAGTTCCTCAAATTGTTAATGTATTGATTAAGGCATAGCTTACTGACACTGAAAAGGACACTGATTTTATTTCTAAATCATAAAGTATTACTGATTGTCTTGCATATAGACATTTCAGCCTGTACATTGCAATCTGTATCTAGATTGCAACCTCTGTTTTATAATCTCCAATTAAAAACTATGGGGAGTCCCCCTCCCTTCTCCTAAATTTTCCTATAAAACCTTCCAACTTGTAATAGACTCTAGAACCCTCCCCAATTTTTTGGTATGTCTTCCTAGTCCAGTCCTCACATCTAGCTTCCAATGCAATACTTGGAATGCAGAAATAATTTGTCAAATTATTTTTGCCTCAACAGCCTCAGTTTTGGTTGACATGTGATATCTCACTATGGTTTTATTATTATGCAAATTATATAATTTGCATTTCCCTAATGATTAGTGATGTTGAGCATTTTAAAAATATACTGTTGGCTATTTGTATGTCTTTCTGAGATATGCCTATTCAGTGTGACTTTTGGTAAGTTCTTTTACCCGTTTGAGCCTTGCTTTTGTTAGTTTTTTTCCCCCTTGCTCATTTTAAAATCAGGTTATTTGTTTTCTTGCTATTGAGTTGTTTGAATTCCTTATATGTTGGATATTAAGCCCTTATCAGATGTACAGTTTGCAAATGTTTCTCCCATTTCATCGGTTGTCTCTTCACTCTGTTGTTTTGTTTTGTTTTCGTTTTTATTGTTTTGTCATGCAGAAGATTTTTAATTTGATATAATTCCATTTGTCTGCTCTGCATTTGTTGCCTGTGCATTTGGGTTCATATCCAAAAATTATTGCCCAAACCAATGTCATAGCATTTCCCCCTATGCTTTCTTCTAGCAGTTTTATAGTTTTAGGTCTTATGTTTAAGTCTTTAATTCACTTTGGGTTGATTTTTTTTATATGGGTCCCATAAAATAAGGTCCCATTCATTCTTTCTGCAGGTGGGTATCCAGTTTTCCCAACACTATCAACTAAACTGTCCTTTCCCTATTGTGTGCACTTGGCACTTTTGTCAAAAATTAATTTATCATAAATGTATGAAGTTTTTTCTGGGCTCTCATTTCTGTTCTATTGGTTTATATGTCTGCTTTTATGCTACTACTATGCTGTTTTGACTACTATAGCTTTGTAGTAGATTTTGAAATCAGGGTCATGCCTTTAGCTTTGTTTGTTTTACTCAAGATTGTTTTAGCTATTTGGGTTATTTTGTGGTTCCATATATATTTTAGAGTATTTTTTCTGTTTCTGTGAGAAGTATCATTGGCATTTTGATAGGGATTACATTGCATCTGTAGATTACTTTGGGTAGTATGGACATTTTATCAATATTAGTCTTCTAATCCATAAACATGAGATATCATTTCATTTATGTACATATTCTTCAATTGATTTTACCAGCATCTGTGTTGCCTCCCACACATCAGTTTATTAGATGATAACAGACTCACAAACTAAATTGAACCAAAACAAAAGAAGACCCACAAAAAGAAATGCTGCCCTGAAAATGGAAGGAAGGGTTGTTATTCATGGTGGGGAAAGTATAACCAGCATATATGATTTAAGTTTTAATGAAGCATTAACTGTTAGCACAAAATGATAGGATATAGCACATAGGGAATAGTTTGCTTAATCACTTTTCATTATCTATAACTAATGTTTTCTCCACTGTATTAGTCTGTTCTTGCACTGCTATAAATAAATACCAGAGACTTATAAAGAAAAGAGGTTTAATTGGCTCACAGTTTCACAGGCTGTGCAGGAAGCATGGCTAGGCAGGCCTCAGGAAACTCCTCAGAAGGGGAAGGAGAAGCAGGCACATCTTACATGGCCAGAGCAGAAGGAAGAGAGAGAGCGGGGAGGTACTACACACTTTTAAACAACCAGACAGCTAGATCTTGTGAAAACTCTATCATGACAACAGCTCTAGGGGGATGGTGCTACACCATTAGAAACCGCCCTGATGGTCCAATCACCTCCCACAAGGCCTCGCATCCATCGGGATTACATTTCAACATGAGATTTGGGCAGGGACACAAATCCAAACCATATCAGGAGTCTCCTCAAAACTATGTCCTCTGCTTTTCTTCCAGTGTATTTGGGTTTTGAGTGGCTCTAGTCTCAGCTGTGAGCTCAGCTCCTGTCTACACAAGTGACATTTGAATCCATCTTTTCACCTTTGAACTTATCACCTCTGTCCATTTTTTACATTGCCATTTTTCAAATACACTTCTTCCACTGGACATTCATTTACAACTCAAATTATACCCAGTGAAAGCCTGTCTTCTACTCTTTCCTAGGGAAGGGTAGCCACAGCCTTTTCCCTTACACCATTTAGTCTCCAAATCAGGCAATTTATAAGTCCCATTTGTGACTTAGCAATAGTCTCTTACCAACTCCACCAAGCCAGTTAATGCAAATTTACTTGATTCCCTGAGTCACTAGAAGGAGTTCCTAGAGATTCAAGTTCACTGCCCTTGCCTCACGTATACCTTATGCAAGTTAATTTTGATCCTTGGTGGTTATCCACAATTTCTCTTTAGGAAAGTTTAAAAATACCACCAAAAAGAAACTTCAGATTCATTTAAAATCTATTCTTGCATTTTCTCCTATATGTACCTTTATTGCTTAAAATTGTTCAATTTTTTAAGAAGATTTTAGATTATTATGTCATCTTTTCCCTCTGTGCAGTTTTAGAACCACAGTAATATTGCCCAGAATATTGGAGCTATGTTTTCACCATAGTACATTCCCTAGCGTTGGACTTTTCTAGTTAATCCCTGAGATTTTCCAAAGCTTTTACATAGTGGAAGGGAATAAAGGAGGCAGTGAGACAAAGCAAGGTTTGAATCCCAGTTCTGCTATTTTCTAGCAGGGTGACTTTTGATAAATTCCTTTACTCCTCTGAGCCTTGCTTTTGTCTGTTAGTTTCTTTCCCTCTTAACTATAAAATGAAGTTGGTAATGTGTGCCTCATAGACTGGCTTTAAGAATTAAATGAGGTAACACAGTGGTGGCTCTACCTAGCAGGATCCCCAACAGTGGCTCAGTGAGTGCTAGCTCCTTTCTCCCTCACTTCTCATCCCATTCCACCCCCTTGCATCCAGGAGCTAAGTAGAACCAATTTCCTGAGAGTTAACGGGTTAAAGTTCAGATGGAAGTAGAGTCTGACATTATATGCATTATTAATAAAAATCGACAAACATATGTTTTTCACTTCCATGTAGTTCTCTTATAGGAAAACCTTAGCTATGTAAAATACCACCCCAAACCCATAAGTGGAAAAAGAGAAAAGTAATTTTGGTAAAATTCTAAACACTTTCCATGTCCAGCATTCATCTAACTCACAGGAGAGGATCCATGAAGATCCTATGCTCTATTGTGTTGGACCTTGGCTTTCAAATTTATAATAGATTAGAAAAGACTGGACAAAGTGGAAACATTGGCAGTAGTGAAAACTACAGCTGTGGCCTGAAGTCGAGAAAGGAAGCTGGAAAACCACAAAAATTAGATAGGATAATTTTCTTTAAAAAAGAAGTAGTTTAGCACCTTTAGCAGTTCTGCAGTCCCTGAGAACATTATAGGCTAGTATAACGATCAATGTTCATAATAATGGTCCTTAATTGTCAGTAAAATATATATTATGTGGTTTGTAGTTGATGTAAGTATATTGGCAAGTGTATAATAATTTATAAAAACTTCTCTGCTAAGTAGCTAATATGTTGTCTTAAAAAAGATGTTGGTGACCCTTCATCAGAGAAACTTCTATTATCTTGAAACTTCAGTATTTGGAACATCTGTGATAAGTCAGTTACTTTCACTAATGCCAATGTGTGTGTGGTGAGGGGTTGGGTGTGGGTGGGGTGTGTACATACAAATAAATAAAAAGATTTGTTATGATATAGTTAAGTAAAAACATCCCCTTTCAACTCTACATCGGGAGAGTCAGTTACCAAAGGTATAAAAATTCTTAATTCTAGTATGGTTTCACAGAACATTGCTACAGTGAAGTCTCAGAAGATAAAACCACATCTATCAAATACTATTTCCCTGGGTTAGGAACAAACATCCTTTGAGTAAATAACAGCCTTCTTCACCTGAAGAAATAAAACTTCGCACTTCCCATCATCACCTAAAAAAGGTGATTTTTGTCATTCTCCCTCTGCATTAAATTATCCTGAATGTTTCAGCTTCTTAAAGTAAATTGGCTTCCCCAGAACTAGCTGTGTTTTTGAAATTATGTTTCTTTCCTTAGAAATAATTTCCATATATTATTGAGCTCTACTACAAAGTTTCTATCCTGGGTAATTTTTCTTCTGCAACTTTGTGGATTTAAATATAATAGTTACATAGGCCACATATATATTGACAATATTTATTATAAATTCTTGTGACTTAAGTTTTAATTTTTTCCTCATTTTTTTTCAAAACAAACCAAAGGCCTATATCCAACAGATGCTGAAGTTTTACTTCCATTTAAAAGGAATATATATATATAGCATATAAATATATATTTTATATTAAAAGAAATATAAATATATATTGCATATGAATATATACTTTGTGTATAAATATATAGATAATAAATATATGTATGTGTAAATATATATGTTTATTATGTATATTACCTTTACATAATAGTATACATATATATATCTTGCCTTTATTTGGATTAATCAAGTATTTTTAAATGTTATTTCATTTGTCCATATTAGCTTGTTACATATTTATGTATTAATCTTCTAGTAGTTATTCTAAACATTTCCACATATATCCTTGGTTATTCAGTTTATCATTATTTAGAACTTTTAGTATTTCATGGATAATGCAAGAATTTAAAAACTGAAACTTCATTTACCCCATTTTCAATTTTTATGCTTTTGTTGTCAAGTATCTTCTTTCTCTATTTTAAGTTTTATCAAACATAACTGTTTTTATATAGTGAGCATTTGTTCATATTGATGTCCTTTCACCGTTTCTGCTGCTCTTCATTCCGTGCTGCTTTCCTCTGCTTCCATTTGGGGCCATTTTCTTTTTCTGTTTCTGTTTCTTTTTTTTTTTTTAATTATACTTTAAGTTCTAGGGTACATGTGCACAACGTGCAGGTTTGTTACATAGGTATACATGTGCCATGTTGGTCTGTTGCACCCATCAACTCATCATTTACATTAGATATTTCTCCTAATGCTATCCCTCCTCCAGCCCCCCACCCACAGACAGGCCTGGGTGTGTGATGTTCCCCGCCCTGTGTCCAAGTGTTCTCATTGTTCAGTTCCCACCTATGAGTGAGAACATGCTGTGTTTGATTTTCTGTCCTTGTCATAGTTTGCTGAGAATGATGGTTTCCAGCTTCATTCACATCCCTGCAAAGGACATGAACTCATCCTTTTTTATGGCTGCATAGTATTCCATGGTGTATATGTGCCACAATTTCTTAATCGAGTCTATCATTGATGGACATTTGGGTTGGTTCCAAGTCCTTCCTATTGTGAATAGTGCCACAATAAACTTATGTGTGCATGTGTCTTTATAGTAGCATGATTTATAATCCTTTGGGTATATACCCAGTAATGGGATCACTGGGTCAAATGGTATTTCTAGTTCTAGAACCTTGAGGAATTGCCACACTGTCTTCCACAGTGGTTGAACTAGTTTACACTCCCACCAACAGTGTAAAAATGTTCCTATTTCTCCACATCCTCTCCAGCATCTGTTGTTTCCTGACTTTTTAATGATTGCCATTCTGACTGGTGTGAGATGATATCTCTTGTGGTTTTGATTTGCATTTCTCTGATGACCAGTGATGATGAGCATTTTTTCTTGTGTCTGTTGGCTGCATAAATGTCTTCTTTTGAGAGGTGTCTGTTCATTTCCTTTGCCAACTTTTCGATGGGGTTGTTTGTTTTTTTCTTGTACGTTTGTTTAAGTTCTTTGTAGATTCTGGATATTAGCCCTTTGTCAGATGGGTAGATTGCAAAAATTTTCTCCCATTCTGTAAGTTGCCTGTTCACTCCGATGGGAGTTTCTTTTGCCATGCAGAAGCTCTTTAGTTTAATTAGATCCCATTTGTCAATTTTGGCTTTTGTTGCCATTGCTTTTGGTGTTTTAGTCATGAAGTCCTTGCCCATGCCTATGTCCTGAATGGCATTGCCTAGGTTTTCTTCTAGGGTTTTTATGGTTTTAGGTCTAACATTTAAGTCTTTAATCCATCTTGAATTAATTTTTGTGTAAGGTGTAAGGAAGGGATCCAGTTTCAGCTTTCTACATATGGCTAGCCAGTTTTCCCAGCACCATTTATTAAAGAGGGAATCCTTTCCCCATTTCTTGTTTTTGTCAGGTTTGTCAAAGATCAGATGGTTGTAGATGTGTGGTGTTATTTCTGAGGCCTCTGTTCTGTTCCATTGGTCTATATCTCTGTTTTGGCACCAGTACCATGCTGCTTTGGTTACTGTAGCCTTAAAGTATAGTTTGAAGTCAGGTAGCATGATGCCTCCAGCTTTGTTCTTTTCGCTTAGGATTGTCTTGGCAATGTGGGCTCTTTTTTGGTTCCATATGAACTTCAAAGTAGTTTTCTCCAATTCTGTGAAGAAAGTCATTGGTAGCTTGATGGGGATGGCATTGAATCTATAAATTACCTTGGGCAGTGTGGCCATTTTCATGACGTTGTTTCTTCCTGTCCATGAGCATAGAATGTTCTTCCATTTGTTTGTGTCCTCTTTTATTTCGTTGAGCAGTGGTTTGTAGTTCTCCTTGAAGAGGTCCTTCACATCCCTTGTAAGTTGGATTCCTAGGTATTTTATTCTGTTTGTAGCAATTGTGAATGGGAGTTCACTCATGAGTTGGCTCGCTGTCTGTTATTGGGGTATAAGAATGCTTGTGTTTTTTGCACATTGATTTTGTATCCTGAGACTTTGCTGAAGTTGCTTATCAGCTTAAGGAGATTTTGGGCTGAGACGATGGGGTTTTCTAAATATACAATCATGTCATCTGCAAACAGGGACGATTTGACTTCCTCTTTTCCTAATTGAATACCCTTTATTTTTGTCTCTTGCCTAATTGCCCTGGCCAGAACTTCCAACACTTTATTGAATTGGAGTGGTGAGAGATGGCATCCTTGTCTTGTGCCAGTTTTCAAAGGGAATGCTTCCAGTTTTTGCCCATTCAGTATGATATTGGCTGTGGGTTTGTCATAAATAGCTCTTATTATTTTGAGATACGTTCCATCAATACCTAGTTTATTGAGAGTTTTTAGCATGAAGGGGTGTTGAATTTTGTCGAAGGCTTTTTCTGCATCTATTGAGATAATCATGTGGTTTTCGTCATTGGTACTGTTTATGTGATGGATTATGTTGATTGATTTGTATATATTCAACCAGCCTTGCATCCCAGGGATGAAGCCCACTTCACTTGATCATGGTGGATAAGTTTTTTGATGTGCTGCTGGATTCAGTTTGCCAGTATTTTATTGAGGATTTTCATATCTATGTTCATCAGGGATATTGGTCTAAAATTCTCTTTTTTTGTTGTGTCTCTACCAGGCTTTGGTATCAGGATGATGCTGTCCTCATAAAATGAGTTAGGGA
The DNA here is from genome assembly GCF_000001405.40 of Homo sapiens. NCBI lineage: Eukaryota > Metazoa > Chordata > Mammalia > Primates > Hominidae > Homo > Homo sapiens. Next base: position 132,743,677 of record NC_000003.12, read on the forward strand.
GGATTCCCTCTTTTTCTATTGTTTGGAATAGTTTCAGAAGGAATGGTACCAGCTCCTCTTTGTACCTCTGGTAGAATTTGGCTCTGAATCCGTCTGGTCCTGGACTTCTTTTGGTTGGTAAGCTATTAATTATTGCCTCAACTTCAGAGCCTGTTATTGGTCTATTCAGAGATTCAACTTCTTCCTGGTTTAGTCTTGAGAGGGTGTATGTGTCCAGGAATTTATCCATTTCTTCTAGATTTTCTAGTTTATTTGCGTAGAGGTGTTTGTAGTATTCTCTGATGGTAGTTTGTATTTCTGTGGGATCGGTGGTGATATCCCCTTTATCATTTTTTATTGCATCTATTTGATTCTTCTCTCTTTTCTTCTTTATTAGTCTTGCTAGTGGTCTATCAATTTTGTTGATCTTTTCAAAAAACCAGCTCCTGGATGTATTGATTTTTTTGAAGGGTTTTTTGTGTCTCTATCTCCCTCAGTTCTGCTCTGATCTTAGTTATTTCTTGTCTTCTGCTAGCTTTTGAATTTGTTTGCTCTTGCTTCTCTAGTTCTTTTAATTGTGATGTTAGGGTGTCAATTTTAGATCTTTCCTACACTTTCTCTTGTGGGCATTTAGTGCTATAAATTTCCCTCTACACACAGCTTTAAATGTGTCCCAGAGATTCTGGTACGTTGTGTCTTTGTTCTCATTGGTTTCAAAGAACATTTTTATTTCTGCCTTCATTTCGTTATTTACGCAGTAGTCATTTAGGAGCAGGTTGTTCTATTTCCGTGTAGTTGTGTGGTTTTGAGTGAGTTTCTTAATCCTGAGTTCTAATTTGATTGCACTGTGGTCTGAGAAACAGTTTGTTGTGATTTCTGTTCTTTTACATTTGCTGAGGAGTGCTTTACTTCCAATTATGTGGTCAGTTTTAGAATAAGTGTGATGTGGTGCTGAGAAGAATGTATATTCTGTTGATTTGGGGTGGAGAGTTCTGTAGATATCTATTAGATCCACTTGGTGCAGAGCTGAGTTCAAGTCCTGGATATCCTTGTTAACCTTCTGTCTCATTGATCTGTCTAATATTGACCATGGGGTGTTAAAGTCTCCCACTATTATTGTGTGGGAGTCTAAGTCCTTTTGTAGGTCTCTAAGGACTTGCTTTATGAATCTGGGTGCTACTGTATTGGGTGCATATATATTTACGATAGTTAGCTCTTGTTTTGAATTGATCCCTTTACCATTTTGTAATGGCCTTCTTTGTCTCTTTTGATCTTTGTTGGTTTAAAGTCTGTTTTATCAGAAACTAGGATTGCAACCCTTGCCTTTTTTTGTTTTCCATTTGCTTGGTAGATGTTCCTCCATCCCTTTATTTTGAGCCTATGTGTGTCTCTGCATGTGAGATGGGTCTTCTGAATACAGCACACTGATGGGTCTTGACTCTTTATCCCATTTGCCAGTCTGTGTCTTTTAATTGGGGACATTTAGCCCACTTACATTTAAGGTTAATATTGTTATGGGTGAATTTGATCCTGTCATTATGATGTTAGCTGGTCATTTTGCCCATTAATTGATGCAGTTTCTTCATAGCATTAATGGTCTTCACAATTTGTCATGTTTTTGCAGTGGCTGGTACCAGTTGTTTCTTTCCATGTTTAGTGCTTCCTTCACGATCTCTTGTAAGGCAGGCCTGGTGGTGACAAGATCTCTTGGCATTTGCTTGTCTGTAAAGGATTTTATTTTCTTCTTCACTTATGAAGCTTAGTTTGGCTGGATATGAGATTCTGGGTTGAACATTCTTTTCTTTAAGAATGTTAAATATTGGCCCCTACTCTCTTCTGGCTTGTAAGGTTTCTGCTGAGAGATCCGCTGTTAGTCTGATGGGCTTCCCTTTGTGGGTAATCCAAACTTTCTCTCTGGCTACCCTTAGCATTTTTTCCTTCATTTCCACCTTGGTGAATCTGACAATTATGTGTCTCGGGGTTGCTCTTCTCAAGGAGTATCTTTGTGGTGCTCTCTGTATTTCCGGAATTTCAATCTTGGCCTGCCTTGCTAGATTGGGGAAGTTCTCCCGGATAATATCCTGCAGAGTGTTTTCCAACTTGGTTCCATTCTCCCCGTCACTTTCAGGTACACCAATCGAATGTAGATTTGGTCTTTTCACATAGTCCCATATTTCTTGGAGGCTTTGTTCATTTCTTTTTACTCTTTTTTCTTTAAACTTGTCTTCTCACTTCATTTCATTAATTTGATCTTCAATCACTGACATCCTTTCTTCCACTTGATCAAATTGGGTATTGAAGCTTGTGCATGCATCACGAAGTTCTTGTGCCACGGTTTTCTGCTCCATCAGGTCATTTAAGGCCTTCTCTACACTGTTTATTCTAGTTAGACATTTGTCTAACCTTTTTTCAAGGTTTTTAGCTTCCTTGTGATGGGTTAGAACATGCTCCTTTAGCTCAGAGAAGTTTGTTATTACCAACCTTCTGAAGCCTACTTCTGTCAACTCGTCAAAGGCATTCTCCGTCCAGTTTTGTTCCGTTGCTGGCAAGGAGCTGTGATCCTTTGGAGGAGAAGAGGTGCTCTGGTTTTTAGAATTTTCAGCTTTTCTGCTCTGGTTTCTCCCCATCTTTGTGGTTTTATCTACCTTTGGTCTTTGATGTTGGTGACCTACAGATGGCGTTTTGTTGTAGAAAACCTTTTTGTTGATGTTGGTGCTATTCCTTTCTGTTTGTTAGTTTTCCTTCTAACAGTCAGGTCCCTCAGCTGCAGGTCTGTTGGAGTTTGCTCGAGGTCCACTCCAGACCCTGTTTGTCTGGGTATCACCAGCAGAGGCTGCAGAATAGCAAAGATTGCAGAACAGCAAATATTGCTGCCTGATCCTTGGAAGCTTCGTCCCAGAGGGGCACCTGCCTGTATGAGGTGTCTGTCAGCTCCTACTGGGAGGTGTCTCCCAGTTAGGCTACACGGGCGTCATGGATCCACTTGAGGAGGCAGTCTGTCTATTCTCAGAGCTCAAACGCCGTGCTGGGAGAATGACTGATCTCTTCAGAGCTGTCAGGCAGGGACGTTTAAGTCTGCAGAAGTTTCTGCTACCTTTTGTTCAGGTATGCCCTGCTCACAGAGGTGGGGTCTATAGAGGCAGTAGGCCTTGCTGAGCTGAGGTGGGCTCTGCCCAGTTTGAGCTTCCTGGCCACTTTGTTTACCTACTCAACCCTCAGCAATGGCAGATGCCCCTCCCCCCGCCAGGCCGCTGCCTCGCAGGTCGATCTCAGACTGCTGCACTAGCAGTGAGCGAGGCTCTGTGGGCGTGGGACCTGCCAAGCCAGGCATGGGAAAGAATTTCCTGGTCTGCCGGTTGCTAAGACCATGGGAGAAGTGCAGTATTTGGGCAAGAGTGTCCCGTTTTTCCAGGTACAGCCTGTCACTGCTTCCCTTGGCTAGGAAAGGGAAATCCCCTGACCCCTTGCACTTCCCAGGTGAGGTGATGCCCTGCCCTGCTTCAGCTCACCCTCCATAGGCTGAACCCACTGTCCAACCAGTCCCAATGAGATGAACCAGGTACCTCAGTTGGAATTGCAAAAATCACCTGTCTTCCTCGTCGATCACGCTGGGAGCTGCAGACCATAGTTGTTCCTATTCAGCCATCTTGGAACAGAACTTTTGGGCCATTTTTTATTTACCCAAAAAACTCTCTTAGTATTTTATTTTAGCCCAAGTCTGCTAGGAACAAATTCTCTCCATTTTTGTTTGTCTTTAAACATTTTTATTTCACCCTTTGAAGGTTATTTTTGCTAAATATCAAATTCTAAGCTGTCAGTTTTATCTTTCAGCATTTTTTTTTTTTTGAGACAGAGTCTCACTCTGTCACCCAGGGTGGAGTGCAATGGCTTGGTCTTGGCTCACTGCAACCTCCACCTCCCGGGTTCAAGCAATTCTCCTTCCTCAGCTTCCCAAGTAGCTGGAATTACAGGTGCCTGTCACCAAGCCCAGGCAATTTTTGTATTTTTAATAGAGATGGAGTTTCACCATGTTGGCCAGGCTGGTCTCAAACTCCTGACCTCAGGTGATCCACCCCTCTTGGCCTCCCAAAGTGCTGGGATTACAGGTGTGAGCCACTGTACCCAGCCTCTTTCAGCATTTTAAACATGTCATTCCATTGATTCCATAGCTTTCATTGCTTATATTTAATAGTTAACTATAAGCCTCATTGTGGTGCCCTTGAAGATAATGTTCCCCTTTTTCTTCTGTTCCTTTTTAAATTTTTTTCTTTATCTTTCATTTTCAGCAATTTGACTATGTTTTTTTGCATCCTGTTTGGGATTTTAGAGTTTTTTTTTTAGCCTAAAGCTCAATGTTTTAGGTTGATCATTTTTGCATATTCTCAGCCAATTGCTCTTTAAATATTGTTTTTGCCCAATTTTCTCTCTCCTTCTATTCTGATTCTTTGGTTAAATGTATGTTTGACCTTTTCACTGTATTGTATATGTCTCTTATCTTCTGAAAACAGATAAGAGAATGGAAAATAATTTTCCATTCTTTTGTTCTCACTGTATTTCAGTCTGGAAGTTTTATACTGAAATATTCAGTTTCATTAGTAGTCATTTGAGTTTGATTTGTCTTTAGAATAATCTATTGAATTCTTAAATGTATATATTTATTTAGCTATATTTGCTTTTTTATACTTAATTTAATTGCTTGAAATAGAGTCGTGTTTTTTCATAAAATTCTTCATATAGTCATCTATTTTCTCAACCCTATAACTATTCTAGAAATTTCACTAGACCAAAAGACTTTAGTAGAAAACAAATCTGCTGAAAGATGACTGTTGTCCTGGCCTATTGAATCCTATCTCTACAAGTAGTAACAATTAACACAAGATATAAAGGCAAAACATCTTGAGAATTACATGCAGCAAAAGAGAGGGTGACCTGCATACATGACATAAAAATGGTTATAGAATTTAAATGCTGAATAAGATTTTGGTGATTGTGTGAGCTAAACTCACCATAGTGCTTAGTATCTTGCACCTAATGAATACTCAATAAATCTAAGTAATGAATTTATTTTCTAGGTGAATAAATTAAGCCCAGTAGGTGACCTGCACAAGACGCATAATGTGACCAGCCCAAGACGCATAATGTGACCCGAACTAAGATGGAGCTCAATGTAGAAAAATGTCACACACAATTTTCATCTCTACAAAGTATCTTTGATATTGACACATTCATTTTTCTTTGCTTATTTGACTTTGCTTTCTTTGCTTATTTGACACTTTATTTTTTAAAATTTTAAATATACAAATTAAATAGAATCATTACAAATATAAAGTAGATAGAATAATGAATCTCCATGTACATATCACCCAAGTTTAAAATTGTTCAACATTCAAACAGTTATTTCAACCAGTTATTTTTTTCGTCTATTCTAATACCCATTCTCCAACCCTCCATTTATTATTCTTTAATAAAATTTTCAAGGTAGAATTTATAATCATGGAAAATACAAATCTTAACCGTACAATATTGGCAAATGGATCTACTTATGTAACTGTACTGTTACAGACTAAATGGTGTCCCTCCATAATTCATATACTGAATTCTTAACTCCCAATGTGACTATATTTGGAGACAGGGTCTATAAGGAGGTAATAATGGTTAAGTGAAGTCATAGGATGGGGCCTTAATCTGATAGGGCTCATGTTCTTATCAGGAGAGGAAGAGATGCCGGAGATCTCTCTTTCTGTGCATGCACAAAGAAGAGATCATGTCAGCATATGGTGTGACGGCAGTGCCTACACGCCAAGGTAAGAGGCCTCAGATTGATACCTGCCATGGCTGTACCTTGATCTTGGACTTTCCAACCTCCAAAACTGTGAGAAATAATCCACCCAGTATTTTGCTATTTTGTAAAGCAGCCTGAGCTGACTAATATATGCACACTAGCATGATAGGAAGCATAGCAATCTACCCAGGAAATTCTCTTGTGTCTCTTTCCAGTCAATTTCTAATGCTCTTCTTCCCACCCTTGAGGCAGCCACTGTTCGTTTTTCCCCCCTTATATTAGTTTTGCCTATTTTAGAAATTCATATAGATGAAATAATTCAGTATGTTGTCTTTTTTGTTTCTTTCATTCAGTATTCTGTCTGTAAGACTTACCTGTGCTATGACTCCTTTTCATTGTTCCATAGTATTCCATCGTGTGAGTATAATTGATCTATTCTCATGTTGTAGACATTTGAGTTGATTCCAGCTTTTGTGACTATAACTGCTATGAACATTCTTGTACAAGACTTTTTGTGGGCATGAGTTATGACTTCTCTTGGATAAATGCCTAGAAGTGAAATTGCTGGGTCAAAGACTACAAATATGTTTCACCCATTCTAGTGAATGTGTAGTGGTATCTCATTGGAATTATAGCTTAAATATCCCTGATGACTAATAATGTGGAACACTTTTTTAATGTGCTTATTGGTCATTTGTATATTTTTTTCTGTGAAGTGTCTGCTGTGCCTTTACTTATTTGGAATTGCTTACTAAGTTGTAATTCATTATATGTTCTGCATGTAGACATATAATTTGTGATATTTTCTGTATGTCTGTGGCTTGCCTATTCCTAAGAAGAGGAAAATAGCAGAAGAGAAGATAGCATTTAGAAGAATACACAAGCCACAGACATACAGAAAAATATATGCTATCTTTTGATGAACACAAATTTTAAATTTTAATGAAATCTAATTCATCAAATTTTTTTTCCTACGGTTATCACTTACTGCATTCTGCCTAAGAAATCTTTGCCTACCTCACATTATGAAAACACTATTCTTGATTTTCTTTGAAAGGCTTTATGGTTTTAGTTTTTACGTTTAGGCCTATGATCTATGTTAATATTAACATACTTGAAATCACATTGTGTATATAGCTTTGTAATATTCTCCCACCTCCAACACTATTTCATCAATCTTTTCACATGTCATTGAAGATACTTCATAAATAATATTAGGAGTTGTGTGACTTTCTATGCTATAGATGTGCTGTAATTTATTTAATGGTTCCTTTATTTTTGGACATTTAGGTTATTCTCCCTCTGCTGTTATACTTGTAATAAAAATCTGTTTTTGCATATGTATGTGCATTTTGGATTATTTCTTTTGGGTGCATTCCTAGAAGGGGAATTGCTGGGCCAAACAGTATGGAACACCTTTAAGTCTCTTAATACATATTATTTCCCTAGATGCTTTCCAGAAGAGAATATGATCATTTAAATTCCCACCAGCAGCATATGAAAATGGCTATCTCATCATATTCTCTCATTGAGTACTATCCCTCTTTCAAATCTTTTCTCCTTTGGTACACTAAAGAAGGTATTTCTTGCAGTGTCAGTTTGTATTTCTTTTATCATTAATGAGTTTGGACTTTTAAAATAGATTCATTAAATTTGTTTTCCTAATTTTTGAATAGCCAGTTCATATGCTATGCTCACTTATCTATTATTTTTTCAACAGGGGTCCTATCTTTTATTTCCTATGAGTTCCAGAAATTTATTTACTAAGTATATTAGCCACTTGTCTTATTTTATACTCATATTATTCTTAGTTTTTGCTTATGATTTTTGGTTATGATTTTTGATGATGTTAGTGGTCCCACTCAAAATTTTTGTCAGTACTATAAAGACATTTGGAAATATATCAGTAGGAAAATTTCAGAGACAGGAAAAGCTAGCAATAGTGAGCTAAGCATAATGCCTTTTACCAGGATGGTAGAGTCAGAATTTTCATCTTTGGCCTGCTCAGCAATTACTGTGTTCAAGAACGGGTCCCATGTTTATCTTCTGCCTGTTTCCCCATGTATAAAATACAGATACATATTAAAATTTTATGAGACTCCTAGATGATGTCAGTATAATTAAATGCAAAGTATGCCTATAAGCTATTTTAGCATACATGTTATGTGGAAAGTACAGAACCATTTTCTTTCCTTTTATATATTTGTAGGAGATAAAAATGTAATAAAATGCATACATTATTATACTTTTATGGTAAAACTAAATTTATTATATTAAAAACACAATTCCCTAAAAGAAAAGATATTATTATTGAAAACAGATGTAATTGTATTGAATGTAATACCCTGGGAAAATTAAACAAGAAAGACACCTTAATTAATGAAAAGGATTCATTCTAAATATACCCTTTCTTTATCAGACACAGCTATGCTTTCTGAAACCTCACCCCTCTTGTTAGTTAATAGCAGAATTCACAAATGTTCTTTATGAATTTAAAGTGTTTTACTTATATCATGTTGCTTTCTTTGGATTATGAAATCATAGATTCCTTATAGACCTGGAAGATTTGAAGACCTTCTTGTCTAGTTTTATAGTTCTGAGAACTGAGGCCCAAGAAATTTCAGTATTTTCTCAAAAACTAGTTATTTACAGCTCGCGGTGGCTCATGTCTGCAATCCCAGCACTTTGGGTGGCTGAGGTGGGTGGATCACGAGGTCAAGAGATTGAGACCATCCTGGCCAACATGGTGAAACCCCGTCTCTACTAAAAATACAAAAATCAGCTGGATATGGTGGTGCGTGCCTGTAGTCCCAGCTATTCCGGAGGCTGAGAGAGGAGAATCCCTTGAACTTGGGAGGCGGAGGTTGCAGTGAGCTGAGATCACGCCACTTCACTCCAGCCTGGTGACAGAGCGAGACTCCGTCTCAAAATCAATCAACCAAACTAACTAACTAACTAGTTATTTCCAAAAAACGAATGCTAGGGCCCAGACCAGAACCTGAAATCTCTTGCTCTCTACTCTGGAGTTCTTCCATAGCTCCCACACTGAGTAAAGGAAGTTAGTAAGTAAATTCAAAGCACAGCTACCTCAAAAATGAAAAACAGAACACTTCAAAATGTGTACTTTTTAGCATAAGATCCATTATCCAAGAGCCTAATGCTTTCTTGTTCTAACACAATGATTTGATTGTGTTTCCAATATACAGGTAATAGGAGAGTAGTATCCAAACTCTAGCATGTGGAAAATTGTGTGTTCAAAAAGAGGTATAAATTATGGCTTTTAGATAGTATATTTGTCATTTACCTATAGAGTGGCTTCTGTTTTACAAGACTTTCTACCAGATGTCACAGGGCAAAACTTTTGGAGGTATTTTCCATTTGCTACTTAATAAAAAATATATGTATACATCTGAAGCCCTCTTTTAAATTTACTTCAAAGGAAAAAATATCTGCTGCAAAGACTCTTCAGATTATTTATGAAAAATGAATTGTCATTTCATCTTAGAACAAGGTAAACAAAGCCATATAAAGCATTGCTCAGAACTGTCAGAGATGCATACAGCTTTTAAATCAGAAGGGAGACTTACTGCTGCATTTTAAGCCAGTGCTTTGTTATGCCACACTATGTAAGTAATTGAAATGATGAATGAAAAACACAACGTTCTAGCATATATAGTGATAAACATGCTATCAACACTCTTGTTAACTACCGCAGAGCATGACAAATGAAACTGATCCACTGACCTTTGTGAAATAAACTACTATCTGTAGGCTGTGTGGAAAGCTTGTTAGATGGACTGTTGTTTGGACAACATATAGTTTTAGTAGCTATCAATAAAAAAGGACTCAATTAAATGCTATTAATTTAGTGACTTCCCCTGAAAACATGTTTCATCCACATAAAAGTATCTCTATAGACTTATTGGAAGATAAGAGAGTCTAAAGCTTTTTGAGAATCTTTCTGAAAATTTATCAGGAAATAAGATATTGAGTGCAGAATTGTTGAGGAACAGTCAATATATTTAACTGTATTTAACTCAGTGAGCCCAGCTTAGCAAAGCTGCTTGGTTTTTCTTTCTTTCTTTCTTTCTTTTTTTCTTGTCACACACTCTTATGGGATATTAAAGTGTTCTAATTAAATTATCATTGAGTAAACTACAGTATCAGTACTGGCAGTCATCTTTTCCATTTTCTTAAATTAAGTGTTTATTGTTTGTTCTTTGAAAACTTAGGCCAATGAATATTTGCATAGATGGCATAAATGAATTGGTGTAGGCTTTCCACTCTAAGCCCATTTCGAAGGTGAATAAGCTCAGCTGTGGAGGGAGAGTATCTTCAAGTTCCTTAGCAGGTTGAAAGGGTAAATGGCAGAAGGCACAATATCTAGAATTCAGTTGCTGGCACCAAGTCCAGAGTTCTCTCTATGACCCAATGTTAAGAATGAGTTTCATCTATAGAAGCACTGGGCAAAAGTAAAACTTGGTGTTTTCATTTTGTCACATTTTTCTTAATGGAAATAGGAACAGATATGTTAAATAACTAAATTTACCAAACAGTTCTTTTTTGGGAGTTAATTCAGCAGGAAACCTCTTATAGTTTCCCCTTTCTAGGTCAAGAGAAAAACATTCTAACAACACTAGGGGATTTTGAAGTACATATCATATCTCCCAAAAGAGAATTATGCAATCAGAAAAATGATTGCTTAACTTATGATTAAAGAAATGCAGACTACATTATGACAGCCTAGTGCATTGCCAGTCTAGCTTTGACATTAACTTGACATGTGTCTCAGTCCAGTGAGTTGATCCCACAGAATTATTTTTTTGCCCTATGTTTTATGATGCTTACAGAAAAGAATGATGTTGGCTGCACCAAGAGCAGCATGAAGGGTCTTCACTGTGCAGAGCAGTAGCATGGAGTGGGGACACATACCCTCTGCAGGGATAAAGATAGTTCCTGACGAATATCAAAATAAGGTGACCACTCTATGGTAATTACCTGGCAAATTCTGCCCCCAAACGGAACATTTTGTTAAATTAGAGAAGACAACATTTCCTAACATGAGACTGTTTAAGAATTTAACCTCAACTCTAATGGGAAATAGAAGCACAAACAGAATGACAGTGGTCACCTAGAGTGGCAACTATCACCCAGTGTTCTGAGGATTATGTCTATTCAGATTGAACTTTAGATTTGCACTTGTAAACATTCAGCAACCAGGAAAGGCTATTCCATTGGAACCAACACTAACCATTCCCAGAACATTAATCAAAGACCACCAAGTCAGCCGGGCGCGGTGGCTCACGCCTGTAATCCCAGCACTTTGTTTTATTGACTAATGTTTTATTGAACCCAGGTTATTATAGTTAATGGACAAAATTTTAACCCTTTTAAGCCCTAATATTTTATCAGAATTATAAAAAGGATGATAAAATGGGAACAGAAATAGAATCTGATTCACAAAGTAGTAGTGGGTGGTAGGAGACAATATCCATGAAGCAAGTGTCCATCACAGTGGTTGACATGCACTAAGTCCTCAATAAAGAGTTCTGTTAGTATTATTAACAATATGTTAAAGCTGTGAGGATGAGTGTGTGTGCATATGTGTGTGTGTATGTGTTTTGCCTATATAAGCTTGTCTGTTTATTTTTCAATAATTTAGGTGCTTTGAAACAAAACCTTTTGAAGTTTTCTAAAAACACCTAATGAACAGATTTCATTATAACAAACAAATAAGCAAACATTGCCTTTAGAACTGAAGTAGTATGGATGTATATTATAAATATTTATTGTAGATTATTTGAAAATTATATATTAAATCTGAGAACTTTGATAGAAGAGGGTTTTGGTCTGAAACATATAAATAGAGGTGAATTAAAGCAAACAGAACCTATGATCCTTCACTTATACTATCATTTATGAGTGATTATTGTGGAAACTTTTAAATTAATTTCTTCTCTGGCAGAAAATACATATAGATATTACATTTCATTAAAAAATCTTTTCTAACAATGATTCTTCTCTGTTATCTCACTAATAAGGTCTTTAAAGTATCTTTTTCATTTCTAGCCTATAATGATAAAAACTATCATGAGAAATTTTTCTTCATTGTCCTAGGTTTCAAAAAAATTATACTTTACATATCTCAAAAATTTCCTGTCATTAAAATTGCACTTGTATTATAGGGGGAAAATTCTCATTTCATCAATGAGCCCTAAAAATGCTGATTGGGCAGTGCCTAAAGCCTTATGTCCTGATTGAATTATAACCTGGCACCTCACTCTGCTGCAGTCAAATCTTAGGGTGTTCACCAAACAATTTCTGGGCAAAGGGAGCAATTCAGGACAAAATAAGCCATGTTTTAAATTTATTCCTAGTCATGTGTAAGAGGGACCAGAAGCAGGAAGGTGGAGTTCCCTGGCTGTCTTTCTGGCTTCTTTCTGTGCCATTCATTCATTTAATTTTCAACAATGCTTGGCCTGTTTGCTATCTTCTGAGAGCTAGGGGTCCACTGGTGAGCAAAATCAGATGCTCAACTTATACTCATGGAATTTAGAGAGTTTAGGAGGAATGTGAATAGTAATAAAAACAAATTATGAGTATCAGTGTAAAATTGCAACTGTGAGAAGAGCTGCACAGGAGAGATTACTGGTACCTGGCCAGAGACATTAGGAAAGGCTCTCTGGGGGAGATACTGTTTGACCTAAAGTCTGAAAGGATGAGATGGAATTCCTTAACAGAAAGACCTTTTAGCAAGATGGGATTTAGTGACAGCAGAGAACCAAAAGAAGGATGCAATGGCCAGAACAGATTGCTGAGGGGCAGTGTGGAACTAGAAGAAGCTGGAGATGTGAGCAGGAGCCAGAGAATTCTGGCCTTCATACACCATGGTAAGGAGTTCCCTCTTTATCCCCAAAGCCATGAGAGGCCTTTAAAGGGCTTCGAGTAGTGGTATGTAGTGGTTTGACATGGTCAGATTTGCATTTTGGAAAGATGCCCACTCTGGCTGCAAGGCTGAAACAGATTGTAGGGAGCGATGGTGGTTGGGGAGAGATTAGTTAGGGGGTTACTTTGGAATCCACATGAACCAGGGGAGTGGCCTAAAGTAGCATCGTGGTGGAGGTGGAGAGTAATGGTTATATTTAAGAAAGTTCAGTTTGGAGAGTGGGGGAGAGGGGGCCAGGAGTGAGGCCTAGTTTTCTGGATATGAGACTGGAGAAATGGGGATACCATTTGTTGAGTTAGGAAGCAATGGAGGTGGAAGACCTGGTTTTCAGTAAATGATCATCAATTTTTGTTTCTAATACATTGAGTTTGTAGTTTCTTTGAGGCTCCTGAGGGGAACTGTCAAGGAAGTTTTTGGGTATTGGGGGTCTATTTAGGGATCCCCTGCACTCTGGGCCACGGCTATGCCTGGCCTTTTGGGGGACATTTAAATTTCCCTCACAAACTTTGGAATCTATGTTGGGTTTAGATTTTGGAGGTGAATTCTTTGGCACCAGCCTGTGCTAAATTTCCTCTTAGAAGTTCCAACAGCCCCTAAGGGTCCTGTTGGAACAGAACTCCTCACTCCTCTCCACACACAGCTGCCTTGAACTTCTACCCCATGTCTAGTATCTCCTTAAGTCTTCTTTGAGCTACAGGGAGAGATGACTCCTGGAAATTGCATCCTCAACGCTGGTCAATTTCTTTCCATCTTATCTAGTCTGTTTGAACCATATTCACCAGCAGGCTGTTAGGTCTGGTTCTGTTTATCGATTTGCCTGTGGATCTGTGCTTAGTTGTTTGATGAGGGGCCTTTAATGGTAACCTCTTCTTCCAAGGGCATTATCAGTTTCCTGTTGCTTCTCGGCTGCCTCCAGCTTATACTTCTCATTTCATTTTATTTCAGCTGGAGCTACTTATTAAATGTCATGAAAACTTCCTGCTTATCAGTAGGAGTTTCTGCAGTTCTCAGCTATAGGTAGACCTGAGAATATTGACAAGTGTTGAGCTTACTCATATCACTAGGTTCTGTTTGATAGTTTGTCTCTTAGATAACTACTTCAAAGCAAATTTCTAGAATCCTGTACTTTCAATTTTATAACAAAAAAAATGCTCAGCAAATACAGTAACGACAAATCATTTCCTCTCAAAAGAGCAAGATCATTTTCAGTATATAGATGTCTATTTTTTAACATTGATTGACTCTTTCATATACTTTTTAATTTATTTGACAAATATTTCTTAGGCCCATCTCATGGGTTGAATTAGAAGGAAGAATTCCTTCTATTTCCTTCTATGTCTTTCACTTAGAAATTGACCAAGGACATTTCTGCCGTCCAATTAATCCAGGGAAAAATTAATGGTTCAAATGCTCCTGGCAGCAATAAAGTTAACTAATTTTTACCCAACTTCTCAAAAACTTAATGCTCAAAAAAAAAGAAAGAAAGAAAAAAAAGCCCTTATTCACTTGTTAGAAACACTTTGCTGATTTATTTCTCAACATCCCACTTCTGGTATATTAAAAATACTGACTGGAATGTTTATAAACCTGTAAGCTTCATTCACAATTCTGTGTGAATCTACCTTGTCATAAGATTTTTATTTTTGTCTACTTTAAGTTTAGGCTGCAGAGATAACTTGGCTCACTGTGTCATCTTTTAATTATCATAGATATGTCTACGATAGATAATTTAATTAAAACACCTTGAATATATCTGCAAAAATAAAATGAGATATTTCTCGATGTTTTCCAATTATCACCCTGTGAATTTTACAAGAAAGAAGGAGTGTTATATTCAAAGTGGCTCACACCTCTAATCCTAGCAATTTGGCAGGCTGAGGTGGGTGGATTGCTTGAGCCCAGGAGTTTGAGACTAGCCTGGGCAACATAGTGAAACCTTGTCTCCAGAAAAAATGCAAAAATTAATTGAGCATGGTGGCATGCACCCTTAATCCCAGCTACTCAGGAGGCTGAGGTAGGAGGATCACATGGGCCAGGGAGGTGGAGGTGGCAGCGACCAGTGATTGTGCCACTGCACTCCAGCCTGGGCAACAGAACAAGACCCTGTATCAAAAATCAAACAAAACAAAAAAACAAACAATAACTCAACCTCAACAAATGGATATATGAAGAAACTGAGTCATAGAGCAGTGAAATTTCTATCAAAGATTATTCAATGGTGTGGCTACAGAAACTGATAAAACCTTTAGTAGGAAATGAAACACTGCAAATGGATGCAGCTACCTACAGTCAACCTCCATGATCTCCTCCCTGATGATTCTATAATTATTTTTCCTCATTTTGAGTTTTTATCACACACTAAATCACGGTCATTCTTATGTTGTTTATTTTTGTTTAAATGTTGTTTATAATTGTTTAAAATTATTTTTTATCTATGCGTGGTTTTGGACATAGATTGTGGCTGCTAGGGAGCAAGGACTACAACTTTTGTTTATTTTTTATCTCAGTGTATGGGGTTCAGAGATAAGCATGTGCTTAGGGGGCAGTGGATGTTTAGTTGGTTATAATTCTGTGTTTTGTATTTTGTACTGTTTGGAGTGGAAAGCTCCTGATATAACTCTGTTGATTGATGGTCAGTAAAGTAACCCAAGACCAAAGAGGTCTTCTGTCTGAGTCTCTCATCCTGCCATATCTGCAGGAAGGTACTATAGTAGGAAGAGAAGAAAAAGCATGCTTTAGGATAAACTTTTGAAAAACTTAGGTGTCAGAACTTAACAATGGTCTTCCAACTTCAAATTCCATATGTTGTCTACCTGTTCCTTAAAAAACACAGGCTGGGCATTTGGGATATAGGGTCAAATTCCCAAATATCCTGGGAGTGTGTATTATGTACAGAAATATTTTCTAACATTAAAATCAAGAAATGGGAAAACAACTAAAATGCTTTTACAGTGGTTTACAAATTTAAAAAGATAATTGAATATTATAATATTTCAATAGCGAAAGTGATTAAAAAAATTCAAAATCCTGATTAAAAAAAAATCCTTGCCATTGTGGAAATACTCGATTTTTATTTCTTCAGTCAAGTACTTCAGTTTGTATTCCAGTTTATGAGCAGCCAGTTGTTGAAATATTAGTGCCTAGTCAAGGTCAAACATCTCACAGAAGGAACATTATTCTAAAATGCAACACTTCTGTGCAACTGGAGTGTGTATTTCATGAGCAGAATCCATTTGATTGGATTCTCTCATATTCACAAAACCCAGACTCATCTTGAATTGATAGCAAGAATGCTCTCTAACAACTATGGAATCATCTATGATCCACTTCTTTAGATATTACCTCATTTGGCCCTTGGTTGGGTAGAAGAGTCATTATTATTAACATGCATGTTTGAAAGTGAGGATCCCAAAGCCATTGTCAAACAAATTATTGTTCAAGGCACAAGTTCATAAGAGTATTGGAGGGTCATTTAATCAAATGCTTATCATGTGTCAGAATGATCAACTGGCATTAGGTTTTTTATATATTAGATAATGTATAAAAATTATATTTTATATATAAGATAAAGTATATGGGTTAAGAACATGGGTTGTGGTTTCAAATCCCTGTGTGATCTCTACTAATTCTATGACTTTGGGCAAATATAAAAACTTTTAAATATGAAGAAAATAATATCACTTACTTCCTAGAAAATTGAATCAGTTAAGGGATATACGGCTCTTAGCACCTATTTGCCCTCAATAAATAAAGCTCTCAGTAATCTAACCTAAACCACCCCCCCATACACCTTACCACAAACAACAACCCTTTGAGTAGAGCTGTTTTAATCTTCTTTCTTTATAATCACTCCTTGGCTAATCTCATCCAGTCTTATGGGTCCGAATATTGTTTATTCATTGATGGTTTCCGAATGTATATCTCCAATCTGGACCTCTTCCCTGAACTTGTATATCTAACTGCCTACTTGACACCTTCTTCTGTATGACTAATAGGCATCTAAAATGTAACATATCTAGAAATGAGTTCCTGATGTTCTCCTTCATCCAGCAGCTCCTGCAACCTTCCTGCTCCTAGGTCACGGCAATGCCACGCTTCCAGTCACTCAGGCCAGAAACATTGGTGTTCTTGACATCTCTTTACACTGCCTACTTCTCTCTTACACTCAACATTGGGTCTAGAAGTAAAATCTGTTGGTTCTACTTGCAAAATATGTTATCACTGAGTAACATACTATACATCATACAGTTTTTTTTTTCTTTTTTTTTCCATCTTTTTTTTTATTATACTTTAAGTTTTAGGGTACATGTGCACATTGTGCAGGTTAGTTACATATGTATACATGTGGCATGCTAGTGCACTGCACCCACTAACTCGTCATCTAGCATTAGGTATATCTCCCAATGCTATCCCTCCCCCCTCCCCCCACCCCACAACGGTCCCCAGAGTGTGATATTCCCCTTCCTGTGTCCATGTGATCTCATTGTTCAATTCCCACCTATGAGTGAGAATATGCGGTGCTTGGTTTTTTGTTCTTGCGATAGTTTACTGAGAATGATGTTTTCCAATTTCATCCATGTCCCTACAAAGGACATGAACTCATCATTTTTTATGGCTGCATAGTATTCCATGGTGTATGTGTGCCACAATTTCTTAATCCAGTCTATCATTGTTGGACATTTGGGTTGGTTCCAAGTCTTTGCTATTGTGAATAATGCCGCAATAAACATACGTGTGCATGTGTCTTTATAGCAGCATGATTTATAGTCCTTTGGGTATATACCCAGTAATGGGATGGCTGGGTCAAATGGTATTTCTAGTTCTAGATCCCTGAGGAATCGCCACACTGACTTCCACAATGGTTGAACTAGTTTACAGTCCCATCAACAGTGTAAAAGTGTTCCTATTTCTCCACATCCTCTCCAGCACCTGTTGTTTCCTGACCTTTTAATGATTGCCATTCTAACTGGTGTGAGATGGTATCTCATTGTGGTTTTGATTTGCATTTCTCTGATGGCCAGTGATGATGAGCATTTCTTCATGTGTTTTTTGGCTGCATAAATGTCTTCTTTTGAGAAGTGTCTGTTCATGTCCTTCGCCCACTTTTTGATGGGGTTGTTTGTTTTTTCTTGTAAATTTGTTTGACTTCATCGTAGATTCTGGATATTAGCCCTTTGTCAGATGAGTAGATTGTGAAAATTTTCTCCCATTTTGTAGGTTGCCTGTTCACTCTGATGGTAGTTTCTTTTGCTGTGCAGAAGCTCTTTAGTTTAATTAGATCCCATTTGTCAATTTTGTCTTTTGTTGCCATTGCTTTTGGTGTTTTAGACATGAAGTCCTTGCCCATGCCCATGTCCTGAATGGTAATGCCTAGGTTTTCTTCTAGGGTTTTTATGGTTTTAGGTCTAACGTTTAAGTCTTTAATCCATCTTGAATTGATTTTTGTATAAGGTGTAAGGAACGGATCCAGTTTCAGCTTTCTACATATGGCTAGCCAGTTTTCCCAGCACCATTTATTAAATAGGGAATCCTTTCCCCATTGCTTGTTTTTGTCAGGTTTGTCAAAGATCAGATAGTTGTAGATATGCGGCGTTATCTCTGAGGGCTCTGTTCTGTTCCATTGATCTATATCTGTGTTTTGGTACCAGTACCATGCTGTTTTGGTTACTGTAGCCTTGTAGTATAGTTTGAAGTCAGGTAGTGTGATGCCTCCAGCTTTGTTCTTTTGGCTTAGGATTGACTTGGCGATGCGGGCTCTTTTTTGGTTCCATATGAACTTTAAAGTAGTTTTTTCCAATTCTGTGAAGAAAGTCATTGGTAGCTTGATGGGGATGGCATTGAATCTGTAAATTACCTTGGGCAGTATGGCCATTTTCACGATATTGATTCTTCCTACCCATGATCATGGAATGTTCTTCCATTTGTTTGTATCCTCTTTTATTTCCTTGAGCAGTGGTTTATAGTTCTCCTTGAAGAGGTCCTTCACATCCCTTGTAAGTTGGATTCCTAGATATTTTATTCTCTTTGAAGCAATTGTGAATGGGAGTTCACTCATGATTTGGCTCTCTGTTTGTCTGTTGCTGGTGTATAAGAATGTACATTGATTTTGTATCCTGAGACTTTGCTGAAGTTGCTTATCAGCTTAAGGAGATTTTGGGCTGAGACGAGGGGGTTTTCTAGATAAACAATCATGACGTCTGCAAACAGGGACAATTTGACTTCCTCTTTTCCTAATTGAATACCCTTTATTTCCTTCTCCTGCCTAATTGCCCTGGCCAGAACATCCAACACTATGTTGAATAGGAGTGGTGAGAGAGGGCATCCCTGTCTTGTGCCAGTTTTCAAAGGGAATGCTTCCAGTTTTTGCCCATTCAGTATGATATTGGCTGTGGGTTTGTCATAGATAGCTCTTATTATTTTGAAATACATCCCATCAAAACCTAATTTATTAAGAGTTTTTAGCATGAAGGGTTGTTGCATTTTGTCAAAGGCTTTTTCTGCATCTATTGAGATAATCATGTGGTTTTTGTCTTTGGCTCTGTTTATATGCTGGGTTACATTTATTGATTTGCGTATATTGAACCAGCCTTGCATCCCAGGGATGAAGCTCACTTGATCATGGTGGATAAGCTTTTTGATGTGCTGCTGGGTTCGTTTTGCCAGTATTTTATTGAGGATTTTTGCATCAATGTTCATGAAGGATAGTGGTCTAAAATTCTCTTTTTTGGTTGTGTCTCTGCCCGGCTTTGGTATCAGAATGATGCTGGCCTCATAAAATGAGTTAGGGAGGATTCCCTCTTTTTCTATTGATTGGAATAGTTTCAGAAGGAATGGTACCAGTTCCTCCTTGTACCTCTGGTAGAATTCAGCTGTGAATCCATCTGGTCCTGGACTCTTTTTGGTTTGTAAGCTATTGATTATTGCCACAATTTCAGATCCTGTTATTGGTCTATTCAGAGATTCAACTTCTTCCTAGTTTAGTCTTGGGAGAGTGTATGTGTCGAGGAATGTATCCATTTCTTCTAGATTTTCTAGTTTATTTGCGTAGAGGTGTTTGTAGTATTCTCTGATGGTAGTTTGTATTTCTGTGGGATCGGTGGTGATATCCCCTTTATCATTTTTTATTGCATCTATTAGATTCTTCTCTCTTTTTTTCTTTATTAGTCTTGCTAGCGGTCTATCAATTTTGTTGATCCTTTCAAAAAACCAGCTCCTGGATTCATTAATTTTTTGAAGGGTTTTTTGTGTCTCTATTTCCTTCAGTTCTGCTCTGATTTTAGTTATTTCTTGCCTTCTGCTAGCTTTTGAATGTGTTTGCTCTTGCTTGTCTAGTTCTTTTAATTGTGATGTTAGGGTGTCAATTTTGGATCTTTCCTGCTTTCTCTTGTGGGCATTTAGTGCTATAAATTTCCCTCTACACACTGCTTTGAATGCGTCCCAGAGATTCTGGTATGTTGTGTCTTTGTTCTCATTGGTTTCAAAGAACATCTTTATTTCTGCCTTCATTTCGTTATGTACCCAGTAGTCATTCAGGAGCAGGTTGTTCAGTTTCCACGTAGTTGAGCGGTTTTGAGTGAGATTCTTAATCTTGAGTTCTAGTTTGATTGCACTGTGGTCTGAGAGATAGTTTGTTATAATTTCTGTTCTTTTACATTGGCTGAGGAGAGCTTTACTTCCAAGTATGTGGTCAATTTTGGAATAGGTGTGGTGTGGTGCTGAAAAAAGTGTATATTCTGTTGATTTGGGGTGGAGAGTTCTGTAGATGTCTATTAGGTCTGCTTGGTGCAGAGCTGAGTTCAATTCCTGGGTATCCTTGTTAACTTCTGTCTCATTGATATGTCTAATGTTGACAGTGGGGTTTTAAAGTCTCCCATTATTAATGTGTGGGAGTCTAAGTCTCTTTGTAGGTCAGTCAGGACTTGCTTTATGAATCTGGGTGCTCCTGTATTGGGTGCATATATATTTAGGATAGTTAGCTCTTCTTGTTGAATTGATCCCTTTACCATTATGTAATGCCCTTATTGGTCTCTTTTGATCTTTGTTGGTTTAATGTCTGTTTTATCAGAGACTAGTATTGCAACCCCTGCCATTTTTTGTTTTCCATTTGCTTGGTAGATCTTCCTCCATCCTTTTATTTTGAGCCTATGCATGTCTCTGCACGTGAGATGGGTTTCCTGAATACAGCACCCTAATGGGTCTTGACTCTTTATCCAATTTGCCAGTCTGTGTCTTTTAATTGGAGCATTTAGTCCATTTACATTTAAAGTTAATATTGTTATGTGTGAATTTGATCCTGTCATTATGATGTTAGCTGGTTATTTTGCTCGTTAGTTGATGCAGTTTCTTCCTAGTCTCGATGGTCTTTACATTTTGGCATGATTTTGCAGCGGCTGGTACCGAATCCTTTCCATGTTTAGTGCTTCCTTCAGGAACTCTTTTAGGGCAGGCCTGGTGGTGACAAAATCTCTCAGCATTTGCTTGTCTGTAAAGTATTTTATTTTTCCTTCGCTTATGAAGCTTAGTTTGGCTGGATATGAAATTCTGGGTTGAAAATTCTTTTCTTTAAGAATGTTGAATATTGGCCCCCACTCTCTTCTGGCTTGTAGTGTTTCTGC
This sequence comes from Homo sapiens, assembly GCF_000001405.40. Lineage (NCBI taxonomy): Eukaryota > Metazoa > Chordata > Mammalia > Primates > Hominidae > Homo > Homo sapiens. Next base: position 132,764,999 of record NC_000003.12, read on the forward strand.
CGAGAGATCCGCTGTTAGTCTGATGGGCTTCCCTTTGAGGGTAACCTGACCTTTCTCTCTGGCTGCCCTTAACATTTTTTCCTTCATTTCAACTTTGGTGAATCTGACAATTATGTGTCTTGGAGTTGCTCTTCTCGAGGAGTATCTTTGTGGCGTTCTCTGTATTTCCTGAATCTGAACGTTGGCCTGCCTTGCTAGATTGGGGAAGTTCTCCTGGATAATATCCTGCAGAGTGTTTTCCAACTTGGTTCCATTCTCCCCATCACTTGCAGGTACACCAATCAGACGTAGATTTGGTCTTTTCACATAGTCCCATATTTCTTGGAGGCTTTGCTCATTTCTTTTTATTCTTTTTTCTCTAAACTTCCCTTCTCGCTTCATTTCATCTTCCATCACTGATACCCTTTCTTCCAGTTGATTGCATCAGCTCCTGAGACTTCTGCATTCTTCACGTAGTTCTCGAGCCTTGGTTTTCAGCTCCATCAGCTCCTCTGAGCACTTCTCTGTATTGGTTATTCTAGTTATACATTCTTCTAAATTTTTTTCAAAGTTTTCAACTTCTTTGCCTTTGGTTTGAATGTCCTCCTGTAGCTCAGAGTAATTTGATCGTCTGAAGACTTCTCTCAGCTTGTCAAAGTCATTCTCCATCCAGCTTTGTTCCGTTGCTGGTGAGGAACTGCGTTCCTTTGGAGGAGGAGAGGCGCTCTGCGTTTTAGAGTTTCCAGTTTTTCTGTTCTGTTTTTTCCCCATCTTTGTGGTTTTATCTACTTTTGGTCTTTGATGATGGTGATGTACAGATGGGTTTTTGGTGTGGATGTCCTTTCTGTTTGTTAGTTTTCCTTCTAACAGACAGGACCCTCAGCTGCAGGTCTGTTGGAATACCCTGCCGTGTGAGGTGTCAGTGTGCTCCTGCTGGGGGGTGCCTCCCAGTTAGGCTGCTCGGGGGTCAGGGGTCAGGGACCCACTTGAGGAGGCAGTCTGCCCGTTCTCAGATCTCCAGCTGCGTGCTGGGAGAACCACTGCTCTCTTCAAAGCTGTCAGACAGGGACATTTAAGTCTGCAGAAGTTACTGCTGTCTTTTTGTTTGTCTGTGCCCTGCCCCCAGAGGTGGAGCCTATAGAGGCAGGCAGGCCTCCTTGAGCTGTGGTGGGCTCTGCCCAGTTCGAGCTTCCAGGCTGCTTTGTTTACCTAATCAAGCCTGGGCAATGGCGGGTGCCCCTCCCCCAGCCTCTCTGCCGCCTTGCAGTTTGATCTCAGACTGCTGTGCTAGCAATCAGCGAGACTCCGTGGGCGTAGGACCCTCCAAGCCAGGTGTGGGATATAATCTCGTGGTGCGCCGTTTTTTAAGCCCGTCGGAAAAGCGCAGTATTCGGGTGGGAGTGACCCGATTTTCCAGGTGCCCTCTGTCACCCCTTTCTTTCACTGGGAAAGGGAACTCCCTGACCCCTTGCGCTTCCCAAGTGAGGCAATGCCTCGCCCTGCTTCGGCTCGTGCACGGTGCGTGCACCCACTGACCTGCGCCCACTGTCAGGCACTCCCTAGTGAGATGAACCTGGTACCTCAGATGGAAATGCGGAAATCACTGTCTTCTGCGTCGCTCACGCTGGGAGCTGTAGACCGGAGCTTTTCCTATTCGGCCATCTTGGCTCCTCCCAGCATACTGTTTTGTCTTATTTATTGTCTGCTCCCTGTTAGAAGGTAAGCTTCATGAGAGTAAATATTTCTTTCTTTTTTTTAACTTTTATTTTAAGTTCAGGGATATATATGCAGGTTAGTTGCATAGGTAAACTTGTGTCATGGGGATATTTTTTGTACAGATTATTTCATCACCCAAGTATTAAGTTTAGTACCTAAGAGTTGTTTTTCCTGATCTTCCTCCTCCTCCCAACCTCGTCCTCTGATAGGCCCCAGTGTATATTGTTCTGCTTTATATGTCTGTGTGTTCTCAGCATTTAGTTCCCATTTACAAGTGAGAACATGTGGTATTTGGTTTTCTGTTCCTCCATTAGTTTGTTAAGGATAATAGCCTCCAGCTCCACCCATGTCCCTGCAAAGAACATGATCTCATTCTTTTTATGGCTGCATAGTATTCCATGGTGTATATGTACCACATTTTCTTTATCCAGTCTGTCATTGATGGGCATTTAGGTTGATTCCATGTCTTTGCTATTGTGCATAGTGCTGCAATGAACATATGCATGCATGTGTCTTTATAATAGAATGATTTATATTCCTTTGTGTATATATCAGTAATGGGATTGCTGGTTCAAATGGTATTTCTGTTTTTAGATCTTTGAGAAATCACCACACTGTCTTCCACAGTGGTTAAACTAATTTACACTCCCACCAACAGTGTATAAGTGTTCCTTTTTCTCCACAACCTCATCAGCATGTTGTTTTTTGACTTTTTATTAATAGCCATTCTGACGGGTGTGAGAAGGTATCTCATTGTGGTGTTTTTTTGTTTTTTTTTTTTTCCTGAGATGGAGTCTCACTCTGTTGCCCAGACTGTGCAGTGGCACCATGATGGCTCACTGCAACCTTCACTTCCCAGGTTCAAGTGATTCTCCTGCCTCAGCCTCCAGAGTAGCTGGGACTACAGAGAGTAGTCCAATTTTTGTATTTTTAGTAGAGACGGGGTTTTGCCATGTTGGTTAGGCTGGTCTTGAACTCCTGACTTCAGGTGATCTGCCCACCTTGGCCTCCCAAAGTGCTGGGATTACAGGCATGAGCCACTGTGCCTGGCCTCATTGTGGTTTTGATTTGCATTTCTCTAATGATCAGTGATATTGAGCTTTTTTTCATATGATTATTGACCACATGTATGTCTTCTTTTGAAAAGTGTCTGTTCATGTCCTTTCTCCACTTTTTAATGGGGTTGTTTGTGTTTTTTTTTTTCCTGTATATTTGTTTAAGTTCCTTATAGATCCTGGATATTAGACGTTTGTCAAATCTATAGTTTGCAAAAATTTTCTTTCATTATGTAGGTTGTCTGTTCACGTTGTTGTAGTTTCTTTTGCTGTGCAGAAACTCTTTAGTTTAATTATATCCCATTGTCAATTTTTGCTTTTCTTGCAATTGCTTTTGGCATCTTAGTCATGAAATCTTTGACTATGCCTATGTCTTGAATGGTATTGCCTAGGTTGTCTTCCAGGGTTTTTAAAGTTTTGCATTTTATGTTTAAGTCTTTCATCTATCTTGAGTTAATTTTTGTGTGTGGTGTAAGGAGGGGGTCCGGTTTCAATCATATTTGCATATTACTAGCAGGTTATCCCAGCGCTATTTATTGAATAGGGAATCCTTTCCCTATTGCTTGTTTTTGTCAGGTTTGTTGAAGATTCAGATCATTGTAGGTGTGCAGTCTTATTTCTGGGTTATGTATGCTATTCCATTAGTCTATGTGTCTATTTTTGTACCAATACCATGCTATTTTGGTTACTGTAGCCTTGTAGTATAGTTTGAAGTAGGGTAGCGTGATGCCTTCAGCTTTATTCTTTTTGCTCAGAATTGCCTTGGCTATTTGAGCTCTTTTTTGGTTCCATATGCATTTTAAAATAGTTTTTTTCTAGTTCTGTGAAGAATATCAATGGTAGTTAAATAGGAATAGCATTGAATCTATAAATTGTTTGGGGCAGTATGGTCATTTTCACAATATTGATTCTTTCTACCCATGAGCATGGAATGTTTTTCCATTCATGTATCATCTCTCATTCCTTTGATCAGTGTTTTATAGTTCTCCTTTTAGAGATCTTTCACCTCTGTAGTTAGCTGTATTCCTAGCTATTTTATTCTTTTTGTGACAATTTTGAATGGGAATTCATTCCTGATTTGGTTCCCAGCTTGAGTGTTGTTGGTATATTAGGACTGCTAGTGATTTTTGCACATTGATTTTGTATCCTGAGACTGCTGACATTGCTTATCAGCTTAAGAAGTTTCTGGGCTGCAACTGTGGGGTTTTCTAGAGGTAGGATCATGTCTTCTGCAAACAAGGATAGTTTGACATCCTCTCTTCCTGTGTGTGTGGCCTTTGAGAGTAAATAATTTCATAAGCTTTATATACTAATTCATAGTGCTTAAAACAGTCCCTCATACATAACAAGTTCTCAATAAATATATGTTGAATGAATGAATAAAAAATAAAGTTATTTAATAGATGAAGAAACATAGACTCAGAGGAGTTGTGTAACTTGCCCAAGTACAGGAGCAGGTAAGCAATGGCTTCTATGTTTATGTGACTCCAAAGCCCACATTTATCAATACTATACATTTTGTCCAGGTTAATTTCTGGATCTTGACCATAGCTTGGATGTGTCATGAAGCACATATTAATATAATGATGTCTTAGCACATCCTCAAGAAATAAATATTTCTTATAACAATATCAGTCAATGTTCTAAAAATATGTTTTTCAAGGGCAGGTGCTCACTGGCCAGAGTGCAGAGAAGAACAGGAAGGTTGAGAGGGCTGAGAAAGGGACTTCTGATCTTGCCAGAGTGCCCAGATTTCTGAGAAGGAGGCATGTATTGCTCAGGCTGCGAAGGCACCCCTTCTCTTCTTCATGCTCTTCCTATTTTCCTCTTTGCTTGTGTCCATTTTGTCTTTCCATTTTTCCCACCTCCCTTCTTATCCTTTCCTTCTCTCTTGAGCTTTGTCTCTATCCTCTTGCCCCAAACTGCTCTCTTTTCTCTTTATTTTGTGAGAAGCTCCCTCCCCCTATATATGAACATCAGGGCTGCCCAGTGTGGCTCATATAATATGTGAAACTTGGCCCTTGAATCCCTGAAATTTCACATGAGAAAATCATCTTAAATGAATGTTAAGAGACCTTAGGATAGGCAAAGATTTTATAAAGAGGTCATAAAAGCAAAGGTTGATAAATTAGGCTTCATTAAAATTAGAAATTCTGATCACTAAAAAACATTAAAGAAATTGAAAATGCATGCCACAGACTAGGAAAATATATTTGCCATACATATATCTAACAAAGGGTTTATATCCAGAATATGTAAAATATCCTACAAATCAATAATAAAGAACGCAACTCAATTAAAAATGAACAAACCTTGAACAGACACTTCACAAAAGAATATATCCAGAAGGCCAATAAGTACATGAAAATGCTCTCAACATATTTTTTTTTGTCAGGGAAATGTAATGAGATCCCACTACACATCCACTAGAATGACTAAAATTAAAAAACCTTCAATACCAAGTATTGGCAAAGACACGGAGTCACTGAAACTGTCTTACATTGGTGGTAGGTGTATAAATTGATACAACCACTTTGGAAAGCTAAGCATAAGTCTATCCTATGACCCAACAATCCCATCCCTAGTTTGAAAAAAATGAGAACATATGTTCACTAAAGACATGTACAAGAATGTCCACAGTAGCTATATTTATAGCAGAAAAAATTGGAAATAATCCTTATATCTATCAACAGAATGGATAAATAAATGTGGTATATCCACACAATATAACACCACACTGCAATAAGAATAAGCTATACCTATGTATAACAACACTAATGAATCTCATAGACATACGTTGATCAAGAGAAACCCGACACAACAGTGTGCACACATACTCTATAATCCATTATATGATGTTCGAAAAAGGCAAAAGTAATCAATGCAGACAGATGTCAGAATAGTGGTGACCTCTGCTGTCTAGAATGGGGCACAGAGGGGCCTTTTTTGATACTGAAAATGTTTTAAGTCTTAATCTGGGTGGTGTTACACAGGGATATATGAGTGTGAGAAATTGTCAATCTACATACTTTTTTTTAAACATAATTTACTGTATGTATGTTACACCTAAACTTAAAAATAACTTGTCTTTGGATGGTATTTACTATCCAAAGATTTATACATAAGTATTCAGCCTCTAGCCATAATAACCCCAAACTAGAAATTACCCAAATGTGAGTCAGCAAGTGAATGGATAAGCAAACTATTGTACATCTGTACAAAGAACTATTACTTAGCAAGAAAAAGGACTAAACTTTGAAAATGTGGCAGCATAAATGAATCACAAAATCATTATGCTAAGTGAAAAAAGCCAGACATAAAAGATGACACACTATATGATTCCATTTACGTAAAGTTAAGAAAATGTCAAGTAATTTATAGTGACAGGAAGCAGATCAGTGACTGGTTGCCTGGGGTCCAAGGAGGAGGGAGGGGGGAACTGAAAAAAGGCTTGAGAGAATTGTATGTCGGGGGGTGATAAAAATGCTCTGTATTTTGATTGCCTCAGTTGTTTCCCAGGTGTATACATGTCAAAATGCATTAAACTGTACCTTTTGAAGAGATGCAGTTTATTTTCCATGAATTATATCTCAATAAAGCTGGTGAAAATACATATCAAACTAAGAATACTCAAAGTCTTGAGCTTGACCAAAGAGGCCCAGAGAGCACTAGCTCAATAAACTTCAGTTTCCTTCCTAAGACTCCACACCCCAAATAAAATTCAAGTTTCCCTGAGAAGGACATGTGTAAAGGAGAGGAATGGTCCCACTTGCTTTGTTTTGAAGAATGTGGGTTGGGAGTAGAGAGCAAAAATGGATGGGAGAGGAAGACAGGTATCAGTCAGGGTCAGAAGACAGACACCACACCAGTCACTTCAACTACTGTGAACTATGTAATTGAAAAAGCACAAAAGAGAACACAGAGGAGTCAGGGATGTAGCTACTGCGGGATGCAGCTACCTTCATGAAGGTTGGGGAACAGAGGGGAGAGGTTAGAATAATTAAAACTTAGAAACTCAGAGTCTGGTCTTGGGGCCTGAGACCCACACCCCTGACGAGGAGGCCCAGGCTGGCTGGTGCTGGTGTCTCTGAAGGGGCAATGAGGTAGTTTCTCAAGTGTCAGAGAGACTGCAAATTGGATTCTGCTGCTGCTATAGAAAGAAGCTGCTAATGCTGGGGTGAAGAGACATTGCTGGGTGACACTAACAGGAAGAAGAGGCAAACAGGCAAAAGCACATCCTTTCTCCTTCCACCAGCCTTGCTATCTTCCTCCAGTGTCCCCACTGGTAGAGTCCAACAGCTGGGAAACCAAAATGCAGCTTGCAAAGTTCCAGGTCCAGCATCATAAAGTGTAGTATAAAAAGGGGCAACGGGCAGTTTGGAGTTGAGATTGGGCCTCAGACTATTTTGGGTTTAACTCTTGGCTTTGCCTTTTACTCATTGTGGAACCTTGAGCAAGTTACTCAACCTCCCTGGGCCTCAGATCTACAAGAGTAAAACAAAGGTAACATTCCCTTCTAAGTTTATGTTAGTGAGCCTTCAATAAATGGACTCTACTATTTCATTTCTTTGTTTATGTAGCACAAGCTCCCCTCCTCCCCCACCAATGTTCTTTCCTAAATTCTTTCCCAGCATTGTGGCCCAAATTACCTCACCCTTGGGATGGCTCTTCTCTGAGGGGCTTGCCAGTTTCCTCATGAGGAGCCACCAATGGTTTGAGATTCTGAGAACTAGCATGTGGTGGAGTTAGACTGTGGTCTGTGGTGTATCACTTGGATTTCAATCCTGGGGAAGCAGTGAATTAAGCAGCTGGCTTGTGATGCTTTTCTCTCCTTGTACCAGGAGGATACTCCTGGGAGCAAAGAAAGCAAATGGCTGAATGTAATCTTCTTATAAACATGCTTATAATTGACCTTCTGGAAAATAAACTAATGAGATTTGCTAGGAGGAGAGTCCATTTTAGCAGGAATGACCCTGGATTAGAATTGCTTATGGAAAACTAAAGTAGAATCTATGGATTTATAAGGCCTGGCTTCCTGGACAATTTCGTTTAAATCTTATAATGATCTGGGCATAAAATGGAGATGATTTATAACCCCAAGTCTCCCTACTGTATCAAGTAATCTACCAATCTCTTTAGAGACCCTGTCATTGCTCTGGGCCAGAGAATGCATGTCTGTCCCAGAGAGGATGACCTGGGAACCACACTCCATGTACTGGGTCTCTCCCTGCTTCACCTGGGACTCTTGATTAGTCAAGGTTCTCCAGAGAAACAGAACCAATGAAGAGACTTACATACAGATTTATTTTAAGAACTGTCTCATGCCATTATGGAGGCGGGCAATGACAAGTCCCAAGATTTGCAGTCAACAAGCTGGAAATACAGGAGGGCCAATGGGGTAGTTCCAGTCCAAATGCTAGCAGGCTTGGGATCCAGAAAGAGCCAATGTTTCAGAGTTTGAAGACAAGAAAGACCTGATGTCCCAGTTCAAGGCAGTCAGGCCAGAGGAATTCCTTCTTATTCAGAGGAGGGTCAGCCTTTTGTTCTATTCAGGCTTTCCACTGACTTGTGGAGGCCCAGCCACATTAGGAAGAGCAATCTGCTTTATTTAGTCTACTGATTTAAACGTTAACCTCATCCAGAAACACCTTCACAGACACCCCTAGAATAATGCTTGGCCAAATGTCTGGGCACCCTGTGACTCAGTCAAGTTGACTCATAAAGTTAACCATCACAGCCTCTTAATTACTGTGTCCTTACCATTCTTAGTAAATCTTGATACTGAGTAACAGAGAAACCCAAACTAACTCAGAGTTTTTAACATGGCCAGCCATGCTTTTTCAGTGAACAAAGTATTCTTGAGCCCAAATTAAAAGGGGCTCTAGAGGCGCTTTACAGTGTGTATCAGACACATTGGAGTTTTAATTCACTAAATAATATTTGTATTTCTGGAGTCTAAATCATATGTTTCTCTGGCTATTGTAAGTTTTCCTTCTCCAAAAGAATAAGAGTAAAGTGAACACTTAACTTTCTTTAAAAAATAAGGGTTCTGGTCTCAGCTTTGCCACAAATGGACTGTGTGACCTTGGGTACAACCTTCAACCTTTCGGAACCTCAGTATCTTCATCTGCACAATGGCAGCAGTAGGGTGGCGGGTGTGATTATAATGCCTGAGTTGACATGAAAATCAAATGAGAGATGTAGGAAAATGCCAAATAAATTGTACAAAAGTACAAAATTATATTTCTGTCAGAGGTGTCATCTTTTCTGTCTACAGCTATACATTCAAATAGAATGTCCCCATGATTAAAAAAACAACTTTCCATATCGTCCAGTGCTTTTACTAACAATGCCTAAACATGTAGTAAAAGTATGAATTCTCTCACTTATACTGATACTTACAGATCTCCAATTCATGTTTTCTAAAACATATTTTTATTGAGGTTTATTCCTCATAAAGTGAAATGTACAAGTCTTAAGTAAACAGTTCAATCACTTTTGACAAATGCGTATACCTGTGTAACCCATATCACTATCAAGATATTGAAGATCTCTGTCACCTGAGAAAGTTCCCTGTGCCCTTCTAGACCATCGCTCCCTTCAGAAATAACCATTGATCTGGTTACTATTGCTTTGTATTAGTTTGGTCTGTTCTAGAAATTTGTATTCTCTTGTGTTTAGCTTCTTTCATTCAGCATGTTTTGGAAATTTAATCATATTGTTGTGGATATAAGTAACATTAGAATTTTTTTTGAAGATTCCATTGTATAAATATGCCATAATTTCTTTATCCATAGTACTGTTGATGACCATTTGTATTATTTCTAGTTTTTAACTATCAAGAAAAAAACTAAGAACAGTCTTATGCAAGTCATTGTAAAAGCTTCTGTTTTCCTTTCTTCTAGAAAAATACATAGGACTGGAATTGCTGGGTCATAGTGTAGATGATGCACATTTAACTTTTAAAGAAACTGCCAGTTTCCGAAAGTGTATGAGGGATTCCATATCCTTGCCAACATTTGGTGTTGTCAGATAGTTTTCAATGTAGCCATGGGTATGTTCATGATATCACTGATTCTTTCTTTTCTTTTCTTTTCTTTTTTTTTTTAACATTTTCATGGATTCTTAATCTGGTATCTATAGAACACTCTTGGGGTATGTTTGTGAAATTATATGCAAAAATTTATGGTTGCTTACCTTTTGAGTGTATGTGGATAGAGTCTATAATTTTCAGCTTCTTAATGCAGTCCCTCATCCCTTCAAGTGTTTACATTTATACAAAGGGCAGTCTCTAAATGTGTGATTTCTGGTCGGTCCGATAGCATAGGCCATAATAAAATATCAGGAATCAACTATTTATGCTCTGACATCTTATAGATTTTGTTTTACTGTAAAATGCAGTTAAGTAACACAAATTCTCACTAGCTCTTGATGTCTAAAAATACTATTTGGCCCAGATTTCTAGAATGTCCTCATGCATCCACAGCCCTTTCTATAATGAAAATCATCTCCTCTGGCCCTGTGTTATTAGAAAAGGAAATTTACATTTCTGATTTGATTAAAGAAAAATCAGTCATGGTGACTTTCACAGTGAATGTCTTTTGGCCTACCTGAAGCTCGGGCAAATGAAACAGGTAGGTGTAATTGCTGCAGACATTTGGCGTGCTCTATAAGGCTCAATTTATGATTGTGATTAGCCTCATCATTGTAGACTTTGAGAAATTTGCTTCCTAGATTGTTGTTTATTTTCATGTGCATAATTTAGCGAAGGTTTTCAAAGCATCATTTTTATGTGTGTGAACTTAAAAATTAGTGAGCTTCAGAAAGGATAAAGTTTCCTTTTGCAAACCCTCATATTCAGTTTAAAAATTCACACTGAATGAATTCAAGGATTAAAGAAAGAATTGAAAAATGTTTGCTCATTCTGTGGATGTCCTGTTTATGCCCAATTCATCATGTGCCATTAACTGACAATGGTCACTTCCAGTATAAAAATTTTTAAAAAGCCAGCTTCTAGCATTCATCTTAGTAAATGTCTTTCTAGAATATGTATTTTTTTATTTTTAATTTTTGTGATTACATAGGTATATATATTTATGGGGTACATGAGATATTTTGGTACAGACATGCAATGCGTAATAACCACATCATGAAAAAATTAGGTATCTATTCCCTCAAGCATTTATCCTTTGTGCTACAAACAATCTAATTACACTCCTTTAGTTATTTTAAAAGGTGCAATTAAAATATTATTGACTATAGGCCCCCTGTTGTGTCTCACTTATTTGTGGGATCTAAAAATCAAAACAATTGAACTCATGGAGATCGAGAATAGAAGGATGGTTACCAGAGGCTGGGAAGGGTAGTGGGGGGTGGGAGAGAGGTGGGAGTGGTTAATGAGTAAGAAAAAAAAAAAAAAAAAAAAGCCAGGCACAGTGGCTCTTGCCTGGGAGGCCAAGGTGGGCGGATCACTCGAACTCAGGATTTTGAGACCAGCTTGGGTGACTCAGTGAAACCTCGTCTCTACCAAAAATACAAAAATTAGCCAGGAGTGGTGGCACATGCCTGTAATCCCAGCTTCTTGGGAGGCTGAGGCACGGGAATCGCTTGAACCTGGGAGGTAGAGGTTACAGTGAGCTGAGATCGCGCCACTGCACTCCAGCCTGGGTGACAGAGTGAGACTCTGTCTAAAAAAAAAAAAGAAGAGCGAATAAGACCTAGAAATGTCTTCTGTTAGGAGTTTGGGTTTGAATAACAGCAACATAGAATTATGTGTTGGCCGTCTATACTGCATCCAAATTGCTTGAGTATTAAAATAATGAATGAGATACAGTAGGATGGCACTATCATTCCAGACTACTATAGTTGTCAAGGCATTAGTTCAGTATCTCATTGATTGTCACTGGATATGATGAGAGGAGAGGTGGTGCAGGGGAGAAAGTTCAGATATACTGTTGTTTCTTTGTAACAGCTTTATTGAGATCTAATTTACATACCATACAGCTCACCCATTTTTAGCATAATTTAATGATTTTCAGTATATTTGCAAAATTGTGCGACTGTCACCACAATTAATTTCAGAATATTTTCAGCATCTCAAAAGAAACCTATACCCTTTAGCAATCACACCCCTCCTCCACTTCCCCAAAGTGTTTCCAGCCCTAGGTAACCAGGAAACTACTTTCTGTGTCTATGGATTTGCCTCTTCTGGACACTTCATAAATATGGAATCATAAAATATGTAGTTTTTGTGACTGTCTTCTCTCAATTAGTACATTTTGGAGGTTCATCCATATTGTAATGTGTATTCATATATCATTCTTTTTATTATTGAAGAATGTTCTATTGTATGGGTAAGACCACATTTTATTTACCCATTCATCATTGATAGATGTTTGTATTGTTTCCACGTTTTAGCTGCTGTGAATAGTGTTGCTATGAACATTTGTGTAGAACTTTTTTAACTTAATGTTTTCAATTCTCTTGGGTATACATCTAGAAGTAGAACTGTTGGGTTATGTAGAACGTCTATGTTTAACTGAGGAATTGCTAAACTGTTTTCTAAGCAGCTGCATAATTTTACAATCCCACTAGCTATGTATTGGGATTCTGAGTTCTTCCCACATCCTCCACAACACGTGTTATTGTCAGTCTTTTTTATTTTAGTCATTCTAAGGGGTATGAAGTGGTATCTCGTTGTGGTTTTGAATGGCATTTATCTGATGATAATAATGTTGAGCATCTTTAAAATTTTTTTTTAATTTTTAAATTTTTTTGTGGGTACATAGTGGGTGTATATATTTATGGGGTACATGAGATGTTTTGATACAGGCATGCAATGTGAAATAAGCATGTCATGAAGAATGGAGTATCCATCCCCTCAAGTATTTATCCTTCGAGTTACAAACAATCCAGTTACATTCATTATTTTTAAAATGTACAATTGTTATTGCTGACCATAGTCACTTTATTGTGCTTATCAAATAGTAGACCTTATTCATTCTTTCTAACTCTTTTTTGTACCCATTAATCATCGCTAGCTCTCCTCTAGCCCCCAGTACCGTTCCCAGGCTCTGGTAACCATCCTTCTTCTCTGTCTGTCTGTTGAGCATCTTTTCATATGGTTATTTTCCATTTGTATATTATCTTATTTGGATAAATGTCTACTCAGATCTTTTACTCATTTTTTAATTGCCCTTTCTCTTATTGAGTTATAAGAGATTTTTGATATGCTTTTAAGTAGTAGCATGAAGTGGAAACAAATGGTAATATGGTCGTCTCCAAAATGATAATAATATACATATTGATTGAGATGCTTGGAATCACAGAACTTAGAGCTGAAAGTCACCATAGAGATCTCCAAGGCAAAGTCCTATTTTCATAGATGAGGAAACAAATTATGATGAAGATTAAATGACCTCCTAAGAAGTTACAGCCAGGAGGTCAAAGAACCAAGACTCAAACCCATGTGTTCTTATGCAGAATCCACTACTTTAGCTGATAGACTTCATTGCCTGAAAATGCAGCAAGATGCTCTGTGCTGCCAAGAATTCTTAGATCTTTGTTTGCCTCTTGTCTTTAAAGATGAGTACAACATTCCTACTTATTGCTGTGGCTTATACCAGGTTTCTGTTTTGGCCAGGACTAATGGATAATGAGTTACAGTGTACTTCTCAAGCTTGAGAGTGCATCAAAATCACCTGGTGAGCTTGAGAAAACACGATTGTGCCCAGCATACATGATATGTAATATCATGCTAAAAATGGACATAAATATATTTTAAAAACTGTATATGATGCATGAGTGCCATTGGCAAAGGTTGAATAATGTGTAGCACTTATTACATGACCCCAAATAAACATTTATTGAATGGAAATTGAAAAACATGATTTAATATATAACCTTAAAACCATGGTTCTGAAACTTTAGCATGCATGAAAATTATGCACAACTTATTAACACACGTATTGCTGAGCCCCACCCCCAGAGTTTCTGATTTAGTAGATCTGGGGAGGGATCCAATAATTTGCATTTCTAATAAGTTTTCAGGTGACATTGATACCTGCTGGTCTGGGAACCACACTATGAGAACCACTGCACTACAGGAAAGAAAACATTTCAGTGCCTGGGGCAGCAATAATGTGGTAGAGGGCAGACCTAAATTATGATATAATGCCATATGTAAGTGAAAAATCTTTTCAGATGTCCTTAAATAATCTCAGTCTTTTTCAGTGTACACTTTGGAATACATTACTTGCTTTTTTTCTCATACTAGCTTGAAAGGGAGAAAGAACAAAAATGCCAGTACTTTTGATTTTCCTAAACACAAATTGCAAAATTTTATACCATCCAAATCTATAATAATTGTACATATACAGAGGGCCCTTGATTTATGATTTTTTTACTTTACCATGGTGCTGAAAGCAATATGCATTCAGTAGAAACTGTATTTCACGTGCCTACACAAGCATTCTGTTTTTCACTTTCAGTACAGTATTCAATAAATTACATGATATATTCAACACTTTATCATGAAATAGGCTTTGTGTTAGATGATTTTGCCCAACTGTAAGCTAATGGGAGTGTTCTGATAACATTTAACATAGGCTAGGCTAAGCTATCATGTTCAGCAGGTTAGACATATTAAATATATTTTCAACTTACGGTATTTTCAACTTATGAAGGATTTATCAGGCTGTAACCCCATCATAAGCTGAGGAAAATTTGCATGTGAAGGCAGTTGACGAGGATATTTGGTTTTACTTGTTACATAGAATGATTGCTTGCTTTAAAACAAGGCAGGAAAAAGATGCTGTTATGATGCAGCTGGAAAGCAGACCAAATTTCTTGGAAGAGTGAAGTCATGGGTAGGATGCTTAGAGTACTAAACACTGATCCTTGCATACCATAGGTCCTCTGTTACATGTTTGTTGAATGGATGAATGCTTTATCTGCCATGGGTTTTACATCAGCTCAATCATGACAACGTACAAGTTGAAGAACATGGCTGATAGATTTTAGCTACACTTTTTGGATTTCCATATCAAGATGAGGAGCACATGCATTTCATTAAGGCTTTCTGAGTTCCTGTGCATTTTTTCTCCTGGGAGTTCTAAACCAATATCTGTCCTTAGCTATTAGGTCTTAGGTGAATCAAAAATATTTAAAAATGAATGCCACACATCTGGCACAAGTTATGCTATTAAATTATTCCTGAATTCTAAGATGAAACATTTGGAAGTTATATAATGAATCAACTTAGATTCAGTATGTTTTAAGTCTTCAGCATATTGTTTTAGTTGAACCTAGTTTAAGAAGTAAGGAAATTTTTGTGAATAATTTTAAAAAAGGTGTTTATCATAAAAGATGATAATAGATCCAAGGTTGAATTATCTATATAAAATTTGGAGAATTTTCATGATGTCAAGACACCAAGGCCATATTTCCAAAACCAGGATGCAAATTATTATTATTATTAATTATTTGCCCTTTTCTAAAATGGTAAAATGTATGGGTACTTAACTGGCTGATTGCCTATTGACTCAAGTGAGTGGAAAAGTGCATGAGCTTTGAAGTCAAAGCTGTATTCATATGCTAGCTTTGTTACTTCCAGGCTGGTTGACTATAGCAGACTCTGTGATATGTTGCTCTGATCTCTATTCAGGACTGAAGAACTTACTTCCCCCCAGGTGCTACAATTGCTTCAGACTTCATCCAACTGGCTGACATGAGAGCGTAAAATTCCAGTCCCCTCATCCCAACTCAGAACATCTCTTAAGGGTCATGACAGCTCTAGGGCTCTCTATCAGATAAGCTGAGGCCTTATTGGAACCACACTGAAGCCCAGCTTCTCCCTCTGCCTGTCCTGCCTCTTGCTCTTCCCCTCCAGATGCTGAGCCTGAGAATATTCCCTAACAAATTTTCTGATCACAAATCTCCATCTCAAAGTCTGCTTCCAAGAAACCCAATGTGCAGCAGTGATCTTGTATGTCATTTAACTTCTTTGTTCCTAAAAAATTTCCTGTAACAATGTTTGTCTCATTTAAGGTTTATATCAGAATTAAATTAAATAACATGCTTGAATGTCCCCCAGCACAATGCTGGACACAGAATAGATGCCCAATAATGGAAAATTCCTTTCCAGTCCCCAGCTAGGTTTTCTTCCTGTTTCTAATTAAGTCAAAATTTCCCAGACTGCACACCTCGTGCAACCACAAATAACATATAATATCTGGGATTTGAGAGACTTTGAATCCTTTCAGTTGGTTTGCCCAGTCTCAGGCAAAACAGGTCTATTCTGGGACAAGTTATAAAGAAAGATAGCTCACAAAATATTGCTACATAGCTGCATAGGCCAGGCAATGGTTCCCAATGGCTGCTTCTGCAGTAGGTTTTCTCTGACTGCCAAGAAAATGGATGAAAAGCATTTTTAAAAATTAATGACTTCGTGTGTGATTTAAATCTTCAGCTTGAGAGTACATAACCCTGCTTTTAGAGTCCGTTTTAAAAAATATATTACTATTTTCTCCTCAAAAATACCACGTAGCAACCAAACACTGCATGTTCTCATAAGTGGGAGTTGAACAATGAGAACACATGGACACAGGGAGGGGAACAGCACATACAGGGGCCAGTGGCGGGGGGTGAGGGGCAAGGGGAGGGAGAGCATTAGGACAAATAGCTAATACATGTGGGGCTTAAAACCTAGAATGATGTGTTGATAGGTGCAGCAAACCACTATGGCACATGTATACCTATGTAACAAACCTGCATGTTCTGCACTTGTATTCTGGAACTTAAAGTAAAATTAAAAAAAATCACATAGCAAGAGCATACTACAGAGCTTCACTGTGCAACCTATTGGATCATATGGTAAGCATGGCCAATGGTGCTATTTATATGGTATAGTACAGTTCCTTAAAATTTGGAAAGTCTATAATCCACATGTCACTAAAGGGGTTTAACCCAGTTAAGGGCTCTAGGAATGACTGTAATTCACTTTGACAAATATTTTTTAAGAATAATTCTGTGTTAGGTTCTGGAGATGTTCAGATGAATGAGACATGGTCTTCTGTCTTCAGAAACTCATCTTCTGCTTCTTGAAGGTGCTGGCTATATGGACTTTTTTGTCTGTAAGAAGGGGATCAGAAATAAAATGTCAAGTTTTTTTAAACCCATAATGGAAATTTATGTAATAGTGAGAGAGTAGCTAACATAAATTGCTCACGACCCCCACAATGTCCATTCTCTCCTTCTTCCTTTTAGTAATAGACCACATCTTCCATAACTTTAACTGAGCATATGGCCATCCAGATAGAGACTAAATTTCTCTTGTTGCTAGATATGGCCACATGACCACATTCTGGCCAATGGTACATAAGCAGCAGGATGTTTGTGGTTCCTGGGTTATGTCTTTAAAAGGAAGCTCTTGCCACCACTGTCTCTTTCCTCTATGCTGCTGGTTGGAAGTCAACCTATCCACAAATGAAAGCTACAGATTGAGAATGTAGAGGAAGCTGTAAGTCCTGAATTGTCCATTATCTCTGGAATATTACATAAGAAATATATTTCTATCTTATTTAAACCCCTCTATTTTAGGTGTTCTTTGTTATAGCAGCTTAATCTGTGCCCTGGCTAATATATGTATTATCTTATTTCATCTTCATAATTGTCAAGTGAAATACTTGTTGGTATTGCCACTTATAGATGAAGATACTGATTCAGAGATTAATTTCCTCAAATTCATTTAGCTAGTAAGTGAGAAGGCTGAAATTCAAGTCCAGGTAATCTGGATTCAAGTCTAATCTTTTCTTCAAATGAATTCTTTTTTTCTTTTGTGACAAAGTCTCGCTGTGTCACCCAGGCTAGAGTGCAGTAGCGCAATCTCAGCTCACTTTACCCTCCGCCTCCCCAGTTGAAGCCATTCTCATGTCTCAGCCTCCTGAGTAGCTGGGATTACAGGCATATGCCACCACACCCAGCCAATTTTTGTATTTTTAGTAGAGACGGGGTTTCACCATGTTGGTCAGGCTGGTCTCGATCTCCTGGCCTCAAGTGATCTGCCCGCCTTGGCCTCCCGAAGTGCTGGGATTACAGGTGTGAGCCACCAAGCCCAGCCAGAGCCACCACACCTGGCCCAAATGGATTCTTTTCAGGAGAAAACTAAAACATTTTCTAGTCTATAAAGTGAAAGGCCGTGGAGACATGACCAAAATTTATAAAATCAAGTAAGGATAGTTCGAACAGGTCTTGTTTATCAAATCTTGTGTATTAGAACTGGGACCCTTCTTTGAAGGTCAAAACCAAAATAATTAAAGTTAGTAGGAAGAGAAATTGTCCTATTTTGCATAGAAAGTCAACCGAGAGAAATCGCCACCTTAAGAAGAAGTGAAGACAAAGTATAAATTGGCTGAAGATTTAGGTCATTTATTCAAAATAGACTCAGATTAGGGAGGTTTTGGGGGTGTTTGAGTACATCACTAACTTACAATTTTAAGTTTTAAAGAATTCTGCCTTCTTCACAAAGTTCCCCTTGGGGGTCTATCTTAGCCAGGAATCTCAGATGGACTAGCTGGCACAGAATGGCATTCCTTAAATTCTTATGCTAGTGCTAACACAGCATACCAAGCTGTGAGCAGCTATGTTGCCAACAACTTACAATGAGGAAGAGGCAGACCATATGCTCAGATGTGTCCTCTATAAATGTCCTTAAATTCACAGTGATGAACAAGCAGGTGCCTAATAACCATATTTTTCAATTATGTCACAGTTTGAGTTTTGGAAGAGCATAAAGTCATCCTATATCCACAACAGAAGACTACAGATTGTCTTTGAGTTGGTTGCTTTTGGAAGTTGCCATTGTACCTTCAGAATGAAAGAGTGACACAAGTTCTTTGCCTTTGAGTAGTATCATCCTCCCTTATGTATGGTCTAAAGTGAGCTGCTTTCTTTCCTTTTCTTCCAACCAGTGTGTTCTAGTGCAACTTACACCACTCCCTCCTGATTCCAGACACCTGTCCATCATTTCCCTCTTACCCTGCTTCTCTCTACATATGCTAAAGGAAGAAGTGTTTTGCTAAATCAGTAGTTTCCAAACATTAACATGCATCAGAATCACCTGGGGGTTAGTGCTGGGCTCCACTCTC
Organism: Homo sapiens; assembly: GCF_000001405.40. NCBI lineage: Eukaryota > Metazoa > Chordata > Mammalia > Primates > Hominidae > Homo > Homo sapiens. Next base: position 132,783,894 of record NC_000003.12, read on the forward strand.
AGAGTTTCTGATTTAGTAGGTATAGGGTAGGGACTGAGAATTTGCCGTTCTAACAAGTTCCCAGCTGATGCTGAGGCTGTTAGTCCTGGACAACATTGGGAATTAATATTATATACATATATATGTATATAATACACACACACACTCATCTCTTTTTAAAATTTTTATTTTAAAAATTTTCACTTTTTTTATTTTTATTTTTCGAGACGGAGTCTCACTCTGTCGCCAAGGCTGGAGTGCAGTGGCCCCGTGTCGGCTCACTGCAACCTCCGTCTCCTGGGTTCAAGCAATTCTCCTGCCTCAGCCTCCCTAGTAGCTGGGATTACAGGCACCCACCACCATGCCCAGCTAGTTTTTATATTTTTAGTAGAGATGGGATTTCACCGTGTCATATACATGCAGGTTTGTTAAAAAGGTATGTTGCGTGGTGCTGAGGTTTGGGCTTCTACAGTGAACATATACCAGAAAGTGAACATATACTCACCAGGAAGTTTTTTAGCCCTTGTTTCCCTCCCTCCCTCCCTCCCTCCTTTTGGAGTTCCCAGTGTCTATTGCTCCTGTCTTTATGTCCCTGTGAACCCAAGATTTAGCACCCACTTATAAGTGAGAACATGCAATATTTGGTTTTCTGTTTCTCCATTGGTTGTCTTAGCATAATGGCTGCCAGCTGCATCCATGTTGCTGCAAAGGACATGAATGTATTCTTTTTTTAAGCCTGCATAGTATCCCATGGTGTACACGTACCACATTTTCTTTATGCAATCCACCCTTGATGGGCACCTAGGTTGATTCCATGTCTTTGCTATTATAAACAGTGCTGTGATGAACATACAAGTGCATGCATCTTTTTGGTGGAACAATTTATTTTCCTTGGGGTATATATCTAGTAATAGCATTGCTGAGTCAACTGGTAGTTCTATTTTTAGTTCTTTGAGAAATTTCCAAACTGCTTCCTGTAGAGGCTAAACTAATTTGCATTCCCACCAAGAGTGTATAGACATTCCCTTTTCTGATAACTTCACCAGCATCTGTTATTTTTTATTTTTTTAAGGCAGATAGTTCATATTTATTCTGCTTTTACAGGCCAAGGAATATTTATTTAATAAATGAATAAATGATATTGCATGCAGTCATTTGAGATTACTCAAAAGGGGTACATATCAACAATAAAGAATAATGGTAATGAACCTTCCCTAATTTTTATAAATATTTCAGTTATGGCGATAAAAATAGTTTCAGGTTCCAGGCAATCTCTGCCCATACTTTTTAAAAAATAACGTTTATTTTAAGTTCAAGGGTACATGTACAAGTTTGTTATATAGGTAAACTTGTGTCATGGGGATTTGTTGTACAGATTATTTCATCACTCAGGTATTAAGCCTAGTACCCATTAGTTATTTCCCCTTCTACCACCCTCTACCCTCTGATAGGCCCCAGTGTGTGTTGTTCCCCTCTGTATGTCCATGTGTTCTTATCATTTAGCTCCGGCTTATAAGTAAGAACATGAGCTATTTGGTTTTCTGTTCCTGTGTTAGTTGGCTAAGGATAATGGCCTCTGGCTTCATCCATGTTCCTGCAAAGGAGATGACCTCATTCTTTTTTATGGCCAGCACGTGTTATTTTTTGACTTTTTAATAATAGCCATTCTGACTGGTATGAGATAATATCTCATTGTGGTTTTGATTTGCATGTCTGATGATTAGTGATGTTCAGCAGGTTTTCATATGCTTGTTGGCTGCTTATGTCTTCTTTTGAAAACTGTCTGTTCACGTCCTTTGCTCACTGTTTAAGAGTTGTTTGGTTTTTTTTTGTTGATTCCACTAAGTACCTTATAGATTCTGGATATTGGTCCTTTGTTGGATGCCTAGTTTGCAAAACTTTTTCCTATTCTGAAGGTTTTCTGTTTGCTCTATTGAGAGTTTCTTTTGCTGTGCAGAAGTGCTTCAGTTTAATTAAGTCCTATTTATGATTTTGTTGCATTTGCTTTTGGGGTCTTCATCATAAATTATTTGCCTAGGCCAATGTCTATAAGAGCATTTCCTAGGTTTTCTTCTAGAATTTTTATTTTTATAGTTTGAGGTTTTAGGAATTTAGAATTTTTATAGTTCAAGGTTTTAAATTTAATCTGTAGTCCAGCTTGAGTCAATTTTTGTACATGGTGAGAGGTAGGGGTCCAGTTTAATTCTTCTGCATATATAGTTAGTCAGTTTTTCCAGCACCATTCATTGAATAAGATGTTCTTTCCCCTTGTTTATTTTTGTGGACTTTTTTGAAGGTGAATTGGTTGTAGGTGTGTGGCTTTATTTCAGGGGTCTCTATTGTGTTCCATTTGTTTATGTATCTATTTTTGTAGCAGTATCAGGCTGTTTTGGTTACTGTAGCCTTGTCGTACAGTTTGAAGTCAGGTAATATGATGCCTCCAGCTTTGTTCTTTTGCTTAGGATTGATTTGGCTGTTCGGGCTCTTTTTTGGTTCCATATGGATTTCAGCACAGTTTTTTCTAGTTCTGTAAGAAATGACGTTGGAAATGTAGCAGAAATAGCATTGAATCTGTAGATGGCTTTCAGCATTATGGACATTTTAACGATGTTTTTTCTTCCAACCCATGAACATGGAATGCTTTTCCATTTGCTTGTGTCATCTATGATTTCTTTCAGCAGTGTTTTGTAGTTCTCTTTGTAGAGATCTTTCACCTTCTTGCTTGGTTAGGTATATTCCTAGGTATTTCATTTTTTTGGACTATTGTAAATGGGATTGCGTTCTTGATTTGGTTCTCAGATTGAATGTTATTGGTGTATACAATTGGTAGTCCTAGCTCCTCAGGAAGCTGAGGTTGGAAGATCACTTGAGCCCAGGAGATGGCTGCAATGAACTAGGATCATGCCAGTGCACTCCAGCCTGAGCTACAGAGTGAGATCTTGTCAGAAAGAAAGAAGGAACGAAGGAAAGAAAGACAGAAAGAAAGAAAGAAAGAAAGAAAGAAAGAAAGAAAGAAAGAAAGAAAAAGAAATGCCACTTTTTTTGTGTGTTGATTTTGTATCCTGAGACTTTGCTGAAGTTGTTTATCTTGTCTAGGAATCTTTTGGCAGAATCTTTAGGGTTTTCTAGGTATAGAATGTTATCAGCAAAGAGATAATTTGACTTCCTCTTGTTCTATTTGGATGCCCTTTACTTATATGTCTCTTGAGTGCTCTGGCTAGGACTTTCAGTACTGTGTTGAATACGAGTGGTGAAAGTGACATTGTCTTTTTTTTTTTTTTTTTTTTTTTTGAGATGGAACCTCACTCTGTTGCCCAGTCTGGAGTATAGTGGTGCCATGTCGGCTCACTGCAACCTCTGCCTCCCAGGCTCAAGCAATTCTTGTGCCTCAGCCTCCCGAGTAGTTGGGACCACAGATGCGCACCACCACAGCCTGCTAATTTTTGTGTTTTCTGTAGAGATGAGGTGTCACCATGTTGGCCAGGATGGTACTGAACTCCTGACCCCAAGTGATCTGCCTGCCTCAGCCTCCCAAAGTGACATTCTTGTCTTGTTCCAGCTTTTTAACCTTCAGTATGGGATGTTGGCTATGGGTTTGTCATAGATGGCTGTTATTATTTTGAGGTGTATTCCTTTGATGTCCAGTTCATTGAGGGTTTTTATCATGAAGGGATTTTGGATTTTATTGAATGCTTTTTCTGTGTCAATTGAGATGATCATATGGGTTTTGTTTTTAAACTGATCTCTTTTTGCTCACTGCAAGAGTTGCTGTACAAAATCCCCTCTCCTCTCTTTGTGAGACTGTTAATTTCCTTAGGTCTCACCCTTCTTTATATTCTTGGAGTTTGGCACTGTGCCTGACCAAGTGGACATCTCACAAATGTTTGTTGATTCCCTGTTGCTATGGACTGAATGTTTGTGTCTCCCCCAAGTTCATATGTTGAAATCTAATCCCCAGTGTGACAGTATTTGCAGATGGGGCCTTTGAGAGCTAATTAGATCATGAGGGTGGAACCCTGAGGAGTGGAATTAGTTCCCTTATAAGAAAGCTAGCTCACCCTCTTTTCTCCACATGATTTTACAAGGAGAAGCAACCTTGGAAGAGGGCCCTCACTAGCCACCAAATCAGCTGGCACCCTGATCTCAGACTTCCAGTCTGCAAAACTCCGAGAAATAAAAAGTTGTTGTTCAAGCCACTCAGTCTATCATATTTTGTTATGGCACTCCAAGCTGACAAAGACAACTGTGTAGTCCTTCTCTACTTCTATCCTCTTATAAATAAGGGCTTATCTCCTTTCAGCAAAAAATTCTATTGCACAAAGCATTCTTTAAGATGCAGAATTGTTCATAACCCCAGTGAATTTCGTTGAAATATGAGGAGTTAGACACTATTTCCAATTTATTGTGCATAGTCCACTCTGGTTTTTTATATGCTTGGAAGACTAAGCTAATTATCTTTTGGTTGCTGGCAACTTCTCAATAAGATATCTGTCAAGTGTAATACTATCACAAGGCATTTGGCAACATAAGGAAGAGCAAATTATGTAAGAAGGATAAATATTTTCCTCCCTGGGATAAGGAAAGAGTGTGAGGAGAAGAAAATCACATTAGTAGTTTAAATGTTCTTTTCTCATGAGAACATTTAAGAACAATAATGTTGGTTTATACCAGTTAACACTGAGTTCCCAGAGATGATGCAATTCTGTTTCAATGTAGCCTTTCCTCTGACAGCTCAAAGCTTGGCTTAGTCCCAGAACCATTTTCTAGCCTGATGTGACTCCTCAGTTCAGCTCTGAAGAGAAGAGGCTTTCAAAGGTTTTTCATCTTGCATTATGTTTTTAGAAGTTTCGTGTCAAGGTGTCTAGAGGCCCTCATATACCAGATTCTTTAAATAATATTCTTTTGAGTTAATTGCCTTGGAAAATACAGCCAGCCATTAGAATAGGAATATGATATCTTAGTCTATAACAAATGCACCCCATAAATATATACACCTACTGTGTACCCACACAGTCATAGATGGCTGTTATTATTTTGAGGTGTGTATCTGTTCCCCCAAAACTCATATGTTGAAACCCTATCCACAATGTTATGGTATTAGGAGGTAGGGCCTTTGGGAGGTAATTTAAATTAGAAGAGGTCTATGGGGGCTGGGCGCTGTGGCTCACACCTGTAATCCCAGCACTTTGGGAGGCCGAGCGGGTGGATCACAAGGTCAGGAGATCGAGACCATCCTGGCTAACACTGTGAAACCCCGTCTCTACTAAAAATACAAAAAATTAGCCGGGCGTGGTGGCAGGCGCCTGTAGTCCCAGCTACTAGAGAGGCTGAGGCAGGAGAATGGCATGAACCCGGGAGGCAGAGCTTGCAGTGAGCTGAGATCGTGCCACTGCACTCCAGCCTGGGCAACATAGCGAGACTCTGTCTCAAAAAAAAAAGAGGTCTATGGGACTAATGCCCTTATAGGAGTCATTAGAGAGCTTGCTGCTTACTGCTCTCTGCTCTCCACCATAAAAGGATACAGCAAGGATCAGCAGTCTGCAACCCTGAAAAAGGAGCTCACCAGAGTTCCACCATGCTGGCACCCTGGTCTCAGGCATCTAATCTCAGAACTGTGAGAAATAAATTTCTGTTGTTCATTAGCCACCCAGTCTATGGTAGTGTGTGTGTGTGTGTGTGTGTGTGTGTGTGTGTGTGTTTAACTTTAAAAATCTTGTACATGCTTTATTTGTGTTTTTTAATTTTTTAATCATCTTGAAAATGGGAGGATCGCTTACTGTAAAGTGAGTGCCTTATAACCATTGCTGCCTTATTCTAAAAGATAAATCACTATGGATTGCATACAGCTTCAAATAAGAAAAAAAATTTGTAACAGTACATTATAATTTTTATAGGACATTGTTATGGACTGATAACAGATACAGTAAGACAGCTAGCTGAAAGAGGCATAATCCTAGCATCTACTATTATTTAGATAGAATCTATCTATCTATCTATCTATCTATCTATCTATCTGTCATTTTTCTTGAAACAGGGTCTCACTCTGTCACCCATGCTGGAGTACAGTAGCACAATCATGGCTCACTGCAGCCTCGACCTCCCAGGGCTCAAGCGATCCTCCCATCTCAGACGCCTGAGTAGCTGGGAGTACAGGCACATGCCACCATGCCTGGCTAGAATCTGTATACTTTAGAAGCTTTTAGTTCTGGTACGGAGGTGGCAAATAAATGACTTGTCAGACTGTACCCATCTGACATTGCCCTGCTGAGCCCCAAAGCATCTTTGGAATCCTCCATACAGCACGAGACTACATTGGTAGGAGCCTTGACTCAGGAGTCAGGACAGAGCTGGGTTTGAGTAACTACTGTAGTTACGAGAGATATGATCTTGGACAGGGTGCTAATCTCTAAGCCTTAGTGTTAGTAAACAAGGGCAGTTGTACCCATCTCACAGGGCTCTCATAAGCTTAAATGGGAGAACACATACACCTTCCTTAGCACAGGACTCTGGTACAAGCAGCTCTATAATATTAGCTCTTCTTTCTCTTGCTATTGTTATTAATAACTAACAAGATTTGGCAAAAGATAAAATTATTAGAGAACCACTTCCTCCCCCATAGTGCTTAGATCCTGTCTGGGGAAAGTCCTAATTTATTAGGTTTCAAAGTTGCTAGCTAATCAGCCTCTATCCCTTCTGGTACAACATATTTGAGTGAGTACACGGTCACCCACCCAATTGGGCTACAGCTTTCTGACTCAAGCCCAGCTTTCCCCGTAACCTCTATCTCCTCCAGACTTTTCTGCTCAAATGGTGCTGATTCTGACATAGGGGAAGGTACTGTTACTGTTGTTTGCTGCATCCTCTCAACAGATAATGGGTTGAACATTGTCGAACACAACTTATTACCTTCTCCCGTCTTGTAGTAGAGTTTAAGGATATTGCATGCAAGAGCTGCTATTCCATTCAACTTCTCAAGCAGATCTTAAACACATTCATTTTTCCCATATACATGCTGCCTTCCCTCTAAGTTCATACACCATTCTATCTTGCCTGGAACTCTAAAATAGCCTCACAAAATGAGCTCTCTCCTCCCACTTTTGCTTCTGTTCCAACCAGTTGTCATCTTGGCCAGTTTGATTTTTTTTTTAAAGCAATCCTGACCATAATCCATGCTTAGAATTCCTCAATGCACCTCTAGACTCTTGTAATAAAATACAAACTCAAGAACACTGCCTACATGGCCCTGTATGAACTTGCCTCTCCCCATCTCTCCATTCCCACCACATACACCTCTCCTCCCCTCTTTATATGTCATAGCTATTGCTGGCATCTTTCAGATCTTCAAATAAGCCTACCTCCTTCCTTTCTCAGGGGGCTTTGCACATGCTGCTCCTTTTTCCTAAAATGTCCTTGCCCCAACTCTTAACCTGCTTGAGTCTGATTCCCTTTTTAGGTTTCAATTCAACTGTTGCTTCCTCAGAAAACTCTTCACTCACCAACGCAAAGATAAATTGTATCCCAAATGTTATTCTCTTTACACTATTTGTAATTTTGCTCTATAGAGCTTAGCATGATTTGTAATTCTATATGAACTCTACATTTACTTGTTTACCGTTTCTCTCTCCTTCTATATTGTATAACGCTTGTGTGTGTAATCACTCTTTCAAAGTAAAAATCTTAACCAGATTCTGTTTAGCCTCACAAGCAGGACCTTTCCCTTCCTTGCCATCACAATGCCAGGGTAGATTGTGAGAGTCCCATCCTCCTTTTGTGGGGTGGGTACGTACTGTGTCCTGGTATTTTACAAATGGGGTACCTGTCTTCATGAGGTAAGTTGGTTGAGGTATGAACTAAGTCTAGGGACAGGAAAGTGTTACTTGAGCTGGGTGGTTGCTGGGAATATTTGTTAGCATAGGCTAAAATTTCTGTAACACACTACAACATTTTAGTGGCTTAACACCATAAAAGTTCACTTCTGCTCAAGTAAGAGTCCAATGCAGGTATGTGTGATCAGGGTGGCTACCTTGTGTCATTTTCTTCCAAGCAGGGACTCAGGGACACAAGCTTTTTCTACCTTTTGGTTTTGCTGTCCCCTAGGGATTTAGAGCCTGTCATCTCTACCTGGCAGAACAGGAAAGAGGGAGCATGGAGGGAGCATAGACAAAACAGGAAGAAGTGTGTATCACTTCTATCCACATTCCATTGGCCAGAACTCACTGGTTCACAATAGGGTTTCATCTAATAGCAAGGGAGGCTGGGAAATATAGTCTAACTCTATGCCCAGGAAGAAGAGGCAGGCATGGATTTTGGATGCCCAGGGAAAGAACGATTGGTATAGGCCCAGGTGTGGGTGATAAGCGGTGATCCCTATGTCTTGGCAAATCCACCCTTTGCTACCATGAGGTTCCTGGTTCCACAGCTCTCCTCACTATGGTCCTTGACAGAGACACATCTTATGCTCATCCATTGTCCCTTTCAGGTCTGGATTGCTCCCTTCTGTCCTCCCTGGTCTTTCTAGAGTAATTCCCCATCTCTTCCATTCAACGCACACTATTTTTTTTTTTTTCGTTTAGTGGGGTATTTGTGTGAGGTGAAGCCCTGCTCATGGTAACATTTTTGTGTAGCCTAATATCACTTCTATTCCCCTAACACAGAAGAAGTCTTGTCTTTTTTCTCTGCTCATTGCCTCAAGGGAGAAATATAATAACATTGGTTGATATTTCAAAAACATTGCCCCACAGCAAATATAAATTCAATGAGGATAGAGACCATATCTGTATGTTCACCACAATGTCCCCAACATCTACCAAATGGGCTCAAATATTTATGAATAAATAAATGCATAAATAAGTACATGAATGTTGTAAGAAGTGGCACTACTGACAGATACCACTTGCATCCTGATTCTTCGTACCTTCTCAGACCTTCCTTCTCAAACGGGTGTGAGCAGTGCTCTTAATGGCCCTGGAAGGAGACTGGAGGGAGCTATAGTTATGGGGCCCTGACTCTGCAGGCTTGACATTTTGTCTGTAACTTCACACACACACATATTACACATACACTTGGAAAGAAAAATAATCCAAGAAAATAGGATAAGGAACGATAACAAAGGAAAAAAGAATAAAAACCCTTAGCTCCTGGCACATAGGAGTCCTGTAAATGTTTATTGAATGAGAGACAAGAAGAAATACCCAGTTTCTTCTATGCAAGGACTGAAATGGGCAATTCATGGACATGAATTGAATTCTAATAGTCTTTCCTTGAAAATTTATTAAAGAGAGCTAGACTGTATCCTGATCATAATGTCACTCTTGTTCTTTAGCAATAGACTAGGTTTATTTTTCTAGCTGGTCTCTCTGACTCTCACAGACTGCGTACGTGCTGCAGAATGCTGGGGGAAAATTAACTCTCATGACTGGGAGAGGCAGAGTCAGGAGTCACTGAGATGGTTCCCATCCAACGTGGAGAAGGAAAGCAATGTGGCTTAAGATGGATTCATTATCACTGGTGGAAGAAGTGATTTTTTAGGGTGGAGGAAGAATTTAATGAAAAGCTTCTTTGGGGGGATAACTTCTCATCAATTTTTGTGGCAGATGCTGCAGGTTGGCACTCTCACCTCTCATATGAAACCCTTTTCTTTCTAACCTCTGTCATTTTGTAGGCTGAAAAACAAAAGTACTCACTTTCCTAGCCTCTCCTGTAGCCAAAGGAGGTCATCTGACACAATTTTGGACAAGGAGACGTAAGTTACCCCTCCCCTATTTTTCCTTTTTTTCCTACCTTAAATTGATAAGATAGCAGCCGTAGCTGCCTGAATTCATCCATTTGCATTGCTATAGAGGAATACCCGAGACTGTGTACTCTATGGAGAAAAAAGTTTTATTTTGGCTCATGGTTCTGCAGGATGTACAAGAAGTGTGGTGCCAGCATCAGTACCTGCTCTGGGTCAGGGCTTCAGGAAGTTTACAATCATGGTGGAAGGTGAAGGAAGAGCAGGCAGTGTTACATGGCAAGAGGGGGAGCAAGGGGTGGGTGAAGGCACCACACTCTGTTAAACAACCAGATCTCATGTGAACTCAGAGGGAGAACTCACTCATTACCATAAGGAGGGCATGAAGACATTCATCAGGAATCTGCCCCCATAACCAAAACACCTCCCACCATGTCCCAACTCCAACATTGGAGGTCATATTCAACAGGAGACTTGGAGGGAACAAATTTCCAATCCATATCACTGCCATTTTGTGACTATGAGAGAGAGGCCAAAAGACCCACAGAGAAGTGGACCCTGACATTATTGAAGCACTGAACCAATGCTAGCAGACACCTGACTTCAGATTTCTCTTATGCAAGGAAACATAAAGCCCTCTTTGTTTAAGGCATTGAAATGAAGGATTCTGTTACTTGCAGCCCAAGTATTTCTAACAGCTCTTCTTTTAAAAATTTTCCATTTCCCACTTAAAATAAATATACCAGCTATATGTAGTAAATATGAAAAAATTCTCACCAAGATTAAAACAAGATTTTAAAAGACAGAATTGCGGAGTAGGGAACATAATTTTGAAAAAGAAGAAAGTTGGAGGACTCACACTGTCTGATTTTAAGACTTATTCTTAAACTAAGCATTTATAAAGTCTTTACAAATCAAAACATTGTTATTGGTAAAAGGACAGATACACAGATGAATGGAACACAATACAAAGCCCCAATGATATGGAATTGCAAAGGAGTCATCACTCTGGAGCATTTCTGCAGAGGAAATATCGAACCACCCAAATTACCTCTTCTACTTAAAGTATCAAGTCAGCTCAATTCCCAGGGAGCTTTTCTTAACCTGAGATAAATTCTAATCCTAATGAATATGTTTAAAGGTAAATTCTGTGTTAGCCTTGCCTTGAATAGGCTACATTTCTCCACTTTCAGGTCTTCTTTCTATTCACCCCTATCTCCCTGCCGCTTTAGGAAAATTCCTCTGCCTCCATGTGAGCTAGTCCTGGTGCTGTCAATTCTCAGTATACCTCTAGTCTGGAGCAGCTACAAGGATTGTTTTTTCCAGTGTGCCCAATGCCCTTCTCCTGCCTTTACTAATTTTGTTTTCTTATAGACACATCATCCATCCTCTCCCTCAGTTGTTTTTGGCTTCATAGTCTCCTTCTTTCTGATTCCTTTCCCTAAACTATGAATCAGATCATGCCATCCCCTTGCTTAAAAATGACAGTGGATGCTCCTTTCCGGGGTTTGTTCCTTCAACCCAGCAAAGGCCTCATGGGCTTCACCTTATGAGTCTCCTGTCAGGACCACTCTGCCCTCACATCTCAGCATGTCCAGCCCTGTCTGGACATTAAGATCTCCACCGGGCATGGTGGCTCATGCCTGTAATCCTAGCACTTTGGGAGGCTGAGGCAGGCAGATCACCTGAGGTAAGGGGTTCGAGACCAGCCTGGCCAACATGGCGAAACCCTGTCTCTACTAAAAATACAAAAATTAGCCAGGTGTGATGGCACATGCCTGTAATCCCAGCTACTCGGGAGGCTGAGGCAGGAGAATTGCTTGAACCCAGGAGGCAGAGGTTGCGGTGAGCCAAGATCTTACCACTGCACTCCAGCCTGGGCAGCAGAGTGAGACTCCATCTCAAAAAAAAAAAAAAAAAAAAAAAGGATCTCCAGCCAGAGGACATCTCCTCAAGCAGGTCTTCCTGACTGCTCTTCCCCTACATTCTGCCTTACTTCACCCAGTTTTTTTTTTACCTATTTTTAATGATCTTGTTCATTAACTTCTTTGCTCTCTTATTCGTTATCTCCATTTGCTTAAAGCTCCATGGGAACAAAATTCTTTTTTCTTTTTTTATTATTATACTTTAAGTTTTAGGGTACACGTGCACAATGTGCAGGTTAGTTACATATGTATATATGTGCCATGTTGGTGTGCTGCACCCATTAACTCGTCATTTAGCATTAGGTATATCTCCTAATGCTATCCCTCCCCCCTCCCCCCACCCCACAACAGTCCCCAGAGTGTGATGTTCCCCTTCCTGTGTCCATGTGTTCTCATTGTTCAATTCCCATCTATGAGTGAGAACATGTGGTGTTTGGTTTTTTGTCCTTGCGATAGTTTGCTGAGAATGATGATTTCCAATTTCATCCGTGTCCCTACAAAGGACATGAACTCATCATTTTTTATGGCTGCATAGTATTCCATGGTGTATATGTGCCACATTTTCTTAATCCAGTCTATCTTTGTTGGACATTTGTGTTGGTTCCAAGTCTTTGCTATTGTGAATAGTGGCGCAATAAACATACGTGTGCATGTGTCTTTATAGCAGCATGATTTATAGTCCTTTGGGTATATACCCAGTAACGGGATGGCTGGGTCAAATGGTATTTCTAGTTCTAGATCCCTGAGGAATCGCCACCCTAACTTCCACAATGGTTGAACTAGTTTACAGTCCCACCAACAGTGTAAAAGTGTTCCTGTTTCTCCACATCCTCTCCAGCACCTGTTGTTTCCTGACTTTTTAATGATCGCCATTCTAACTGGTGTGAGATGGTATCTCATTGTGGTTTTGATTTGCATTTCTCTGATGTCCAGTGATGATGAGCATTTTTTCATGT